>NC_000008.11:36526769-36829799 GCF_000001405.40 Homo sapiens | reverse complement strand
TTATTCAGGGGTACTAAAGGAGAACTAAATAAATGAATAAACCCAGCATAGTAAAAGTTGGAAAGAGTTTGTAGCATAAAGCAGTCAATGCTGCATCTAAACTTTCAATTAGATTCGCATTAAATTTCTGCAGTTTTTCATAATAAAATAATATACATGATAAAATAATTTTAAAATTTATATAAAATATAAAGGGCCAAGTAAAGCTTGTCAACTATAAAAAAAAATAAAAGGTAAAAAGACTTGCTCTAGGGATAGATAGAACTAGTTATAAAGATTTAGTAATTAAAAGACTGTAGTATTAATGCAGTAATAGAAAATTATACAAATTGTCACTCTATAAACCCCATCGTTACTCTACAAAAAATTCTAAATGAATTAGAGACATAAATGACGAAAAAAATTTAAAATTATTGGTAGGAAATGTAGTTCAACATATTTTAAACAGTGGAATAGGGAAAAAGTTTCTAAACAAAAAACAATAAGTGCTTTAATATAATAGAAAATATTCAATATTTGACTATAATAACATTAAAAACTTTTAAGCATCAGAAGATATGTAATATTCAGCAATAAGACAAATTATAAACTGAAAGAAGAAATTGCAGTTCCCACAACTGATGAAGAATTATTGCAAATAATATATTACACATCCCTAAAATTAAATAACAAAAATCACACAAAATAGTTAAGTAAAAAAATAAATAGGCAAAACACATGGATGAGTATGTCACGGAAAGAGAAAAGATGTGTGCCTAGTAAACATGGTGAAGGTCCACATCTGTAGAGCTAAAGGGCATAGAAATCAAAACCACAAGAAGGTTCCATTTGACATTGATTTCATTGCAAAGCTTAAAACATATAACCATACCAGTTGTTGGAAAGAATGTGTATGTATATATATGTGTGAAGTCTCTTACACATTCCTGATAGGCTTGCAAATGGTGCAATGACTTGGAAAAAATGACTAATGGCCTAAAAATGAACATTCACATTCTTGACACTATTAAGCACACACACGTACAAGCACAAATGCACATAAACATGCACACAGAAACACTATTTCATGTGTCCACCAGGAGCCATATACAAGCATGTTAACAACAAAACTATTTCCAATTGCAAAATATAGAAATAACACTAATCACACCAAAAGAAGAGTGGAACTGAGGGAAATGAATATCACTAACAAGAACAACCAATTAACTACAGCAACATTCAAAAATATGAAAGCATCTTACTAACATAATATAAACTGAATAAAGCCCCAAAGATTACATTGGTATGATATTCCTTCTATAAAGTTAAACATGTCTAAAGTAATATGCACATTTTAGATGTGAATATAGAGGTAATAAAACATAGGAGAAAGAAAGAATGGTAGTGATATTTAAAAAATTGACCATAGGTTGAAATATGGGGAGGATTATACAGTTAAATATAGATTATTGTCCTAAATTTGACCTTGGTGGTGAGTTCATGCATTGGTGCTTACAACATTATTAAAAAGAACTAGTAACATAAATAACCAAAATGTGCTTATGTGTAAACCAATTATGAATGTTATGACTAAGAATTAAAATAAATCTCATCCTGATTTTCTAACACTCAAAGAAGAAAACTAAATCTTAGTAGGAAATGTAGTTCAACATGTTTTAAACACTGGGGTAGGGAAAGATTTTCTAAACAAAAAACAAGAAGTGATTTAATATAATAGAAAATATTGAATCTTTGACTGTGATAATATTAAAAACTTTTAAATATCAAAAACATGTAATATTCAGTAAAAAGACAAATTACAAACCTGAAGAAGAAATTTGCAATTCTCACAATTGATGAAGAATCATGTCTTTCCTCTACTCGAAGTACTCCAACAATCAGAACTGACACAGAGAAAATTATCTTCCTTAAAGCCAAGTCTCTACAATGGTACAATGGGCTCAATACACCTTTATTTTCACTCCCACTATCAATTACAATATTTTCAAATACTCTGAAATTATCAGTCCTTATGAGTGAAACTTCCCCCTTTTCCTGAGAACACTTTGGATTCAGTATGTGATACATGACCATCAGCATATGTGGAAAAGTGAGAGCTCTGTTTATGTTTGCATACATACAATATTAACAGAGCTGAGAGCTTCTACTTTCAAGAATAATAAATTAGGTAACTTCAGCCAACTCCCTCCTGAAGATATATAAAAAAGCTGGATGAAATATTAAACATGTCTCCTAAGAAGTCATCAATTATATAAGCAGACAATGAAGAGTTATCAGGCCAAAACCTGAGAGAAATCAATAACTCGGGAGTTGAGTCCAATTTTCTTCCCCTGAACGCATTTTACAATTCAGAAGAAGCAGCTACCAATCTGAGATAACATTTCGTGGTCACACAAGTCAAAGGACAAAAAAGTGCAGTTCCCCTGACATACAAAATGAAGGGTTTGATATCTTTTCCAAAATATAAACTGGCATAACAAAAGCATAGAAGCAAAGAAGAAGGGTAAAATTGAATAAACTAGCTTATAATTCGGCTGTCATCCTGAGTTTGTCACCTGGGAAGTACAGAGAGTTTCAAGCATTGAGCTTGGATTAGATGGTCCTGAGGCAGAAGTGCCCTGTTGTGTTTCAAAGAAGTAAAGAAATACACTCTCTGGAAGAAGGTAACATCATCTGTCTAAGTTAACAGTGTTTCCATGTATAGTTGTGCAAAACAGGAATCAGTGCATAATGTAAGACAATAGGCACACACACAAGAAAGAAAGAAAACAAGACAGTGTATGTAACATCTAGCAGAAGCCACAGCCAGTAAAATCAAAGACGTGAGGCATTCAGTTATTGAAAACTAGCTACAGTATATTTATGCGTATTTTGTTGAAATACACAAAAGGTAAGGTAAAAATGCAAAAAATAAAAATAAAAACAGGACAGTTTGATAAAGAATCAAAAATAACTAATGGGTACTGGGGTTAATACCTGGGTGATGAAATCATCTGTACAACAAACCCTCATGACACAAGTTTACCTATATAACAAACCTGAACAGGTACCCCTGAAATGAAAATAAAAGTTACTTTTTTTAAAAAAAAGAATCAAATGTAAATTCTAGAACTGAATAATATAATAACTGAAACTGAAAACTTAATGGATGGGTTTATAAGTAGATTAAACACATAAAAAGAGCTAAGGTTCTGGAATCTAGGTCAAAACAAATTATCCAGAATGCAACACAGAGATATAAAAAGGGAAGAGAGAAGTTCAAAAGAGAGGGTAAGAAATTCAGTTCATACGGCCTAGCGCAGTGGCTCACACCTGTAATCCCAGCACTTTGGGAGGCCAAGGTGGGCAGATTACTTGAGGTCAGGAGTTGGAGACCAGCCTGGCCAACATGGTGAAACCCCATCTCTACTAACAATACAAAAATTAGCCAGGCGTGGTGGTGGGCACTTATAATTCCAGCTACTTGGGAGGCTGAGGCAGGAGAATCACTTGAACCCGGGAGGCAGAGGTTGCAGTGAGCCAAGATCAGGCCACTGCGCTCCAGCCTGGGTGACAGAGCAAGACCCTGTCTCAAAAAATAAAATAAAATAAAATAAATAATAAAAAATAAAAAAAATCAGGACATATAACTGGAACAATAAAAAAGAAAAAGGCTAGCAGAGTTAACCTGTAATTAGAATCCCGGAAGAAAAGGAGAAACAAAAAGGTGACAAGCAACATTTGAAGAAATAATTATAATAACTGAGAATCCTCCAGAAATGATCAAAGACACCAATCCAGAGGTAAATTAATAGAAATTCAAACCTATACACATCATAGGAAAATTATAACATACAACCATATTAAGTAAAATGTATGACCTTTGAAAAAGATAGCTCTTTCAACAAGGTAATTCAACAGACTTCTTCATAGCAACAACAGAAGTCAGAAGTAAGTGGAATAAAATTTCATGGTTCTTAAGTAAATAAACTGCCAGCTTGTAACTCTGTATCTGTGAAATTGTCCTTCAATGAAAAAAAAAAAGACATCTTTACACTTAAAAAAACAAACAACATCCAACAGAGTTAGTCACTGGTAGTTCTGCATTTAAGGAAAATTTAAAAGTTTTAGGGGTTGGGAGATGAGAAATTACTTAATGGGTACAATGTACATTATTCAGGTGACACTTACACTAAAAGCCTAGACTTCTCCACTGCACCATGTTTCCATGTAACAAAACTGCACTTTTACTCCTTAAACTTATACCAAAATTTTTCTACTTTTTGGCATGAAGAAAATCATAATAGGAAGGAAGAGCAGAGGTGCAAGAAGAGATAAATAGAACAAAAGGTTAAATGTTAGGGTAAATTTAATGAAATTTGTCATAAAACTTAAAGTTGGTAGATTTTATAACATGAAATAAGCTTAATCCTGCATGTACCTGACAAAGGCTCGAATCACATATCACCTTATGCAAATAAAAAAGGTCTAACGATTCAGCATAAAAATGGTCAAGACAAATGGATCATCATTTAATATGAGGGAGTCCAGGTGGCTTATGGATCTGAAAAGATGCTTGGCCTCACTAGTAATGAGGAAAATGTTAATTAAAACCACAAGAAGTACCACTATCTTAATAAAGTACTACCCACAAGAATGGCTACGATTAAAAAGACTGCTGTTTCTAAGTGTTAGTTTGTCGAGTTACATTTCCAGTGTTAGTAGGATGTAGGGCACCAGGAACTCTCAGGGATACTGGTAAGGTGCAGATTGTTCATATCATTTCGGACAACTGACAGTTCTACCTAAGAAAAATATTTAAACTTTATTACCTTACAATTATATTTTTGGGTACCAAGATACATATACAAAAATTTGCACAGCACCATTCTTTATAATAGCCAAAGTATAGGGGAGAAATGCCACCAATGGCTGAATGAATTAAGACAAATTGTGGTGTATTCATAGAATATTGTCTACACAGCAATAACAATAAGTATTATACAACTATTTCCAGTTGCAATATGGATAAATATAACAAACATAACATTGAGGTAAATAAATTTATATTCCATTTATACACATTTAAAAAAACAGGAAAAGGGAAATAATATTCTAAATAAACATAGAAGATAAGACAAAAAATAATAAGATATAATGTCCGAACTGTAGTTATTTCTAGGAACTAAAGATGGAGCTTCAACTGCAAAGGGTTGTGTTGGTGTGCTAGCTATGGAATATAGTAATCCATCCTTATCCAAAGGGGATACATTCCAAGACCCCCAGGGGATGCCTGAAACCACAGATAGTACCAAACCCCATATATACAGTACCATTTTTCCTATATATACATGCCTATAATAACATTTAATTTATAAATTAGGTACAATAAGGCATTAACAATAAAAACAAATAATGAAATAGAATAATTATAACAATATGCTGTAATAAAATGTACGTGTAAGCAGTCTCCCTTTCAAAATACCATATTGTACTGTACTCACTAAGTTTTAGAACACGACTGACCATATGTAACTGAAATTGTGATAAGAAAAACTGCAGATAAGGAGGCACTACTTTATTTCTTGACTTGAGTGGTAGTTATATGGATGTTCACTTTATAATCACTTTAATTCTAAGTGATTTTTTGAATTATATTTTGGAATAAAAAAGGCTTAAACAGGGGCCGGGTGTGGTGGCTCACGCTTGCAATCCCAGTACTTTGGGAGGTAGAGGCGGGTGGATCACCTGAGGTCAGGAGTTCAAGACCAGCCCGGCCAACATGGTGATATTCTATCTGTACTAAAAATACAAAATTAGTTGGGTGTGGTGGTGCATGCCTGTAATCCCAGCTACTTGGGAGGCTGAGGCAGGAGAATCACTTGAATCTGGGAGGCGGAGGTTGCAGTGAACTGAGATCGCACCATTGCACTACAGCCTGGGCAATAAGAGCAAAACTCCTTCTCAAAAAAAAAAAAAAAAAAGGTTTGAACAAGGAGATTAATTATTTCCTTGCTATTTTAGACGTGAATAAACATTCTGGCATATTTTTTCTATAGTCCAATGACCCATTTGCAACTCTTAGAAATTTCTCACTCAACTTTTGTTCCTATTGTATTATTACATATTGGAGAAATTGGAAAATATTTATTGGCATTCATATGGTACCTCTATTATATATACTATATGATATAATATATATGATAAACATAAAATGAAACAATCACTGAGGATTGAAAATAAAATTTTGAGGAAATATACTGTTATCCTTATACACTTTTACTTGAATCTACAATGAACAATATTTATTTGCCGCAATGATATAAACACTAATTGTGTAACTACAGATTTAAGATCATAATACCGAAACAATAGAAGTGATGCAGAGTGTTGAACAATTCTCATTTGCAAATCTGATGGTTAATAAATACCATCTATAACTGAGGAATCAAAAAGTGGTAAAATTTAGACTTAAAATTTGAAGAAATATTAAGTCTGAAAGAACTGAAAGCAGTTGTCTCTGAGCAGTAGGACTGGGGAAAGGGAAGGAGAGATAAATACTTCATGGTAAGTATTTTACTTTTGATGTGTAACTTATGGTCATGTACTGTTTGGCATTACTTTTAATGGCAAAACCACAATTACTTTTGCACCAATCTAATACTTTCTTGAATGGTACTTTCTTCTGAATGCGTATTCTGATCTGCCCCATCCCCTAACAATTGCTGAATTAGCTGCCCCCTCTGTTATGACAACACTCACATGCATGCCTCTCTTTATCCCTATGTTTTGATTTTCACATTTCAAGTACATGGAAGTATACATGATTTATTGTACCTTCTCATCTGAGAACTGATTTCTTCTGTCAAACCTAGAAAGTTCTCACCTTTTAAATTTTATTGTAAAAAATAGTACATATACAAAATGTATAAGACACATGCAGTCAGCATAAAGAATGACAAGGAAGTTGACCTTTATGCGCCCACTCATAAAACAAATTACTCAAGGAAAGAGGTATCACAATATCACTGCTCCTTGCTGTGTAGTCTCTAAGCCTAGTTATCTGGCTTTTGGTGGTTTTAAGAGCTGTGTAATATCTATTTGTGTATTCTTTTCTGCTTAATTTAGTCATAGTTTTTCTTGCATGCAACTAAGCAGTCTGACTTATGGAAATATAAGTTAATATTTTATTTTCATAACATTTCATAGAGTAATATGTTAGATACTGCTTTGTTCAAGCAATAAACAAGTAACCAAAGAAAGAAAATGGTAATACTGTATCATTTATGTATTTTTGTATAGAATCTTACAAGAACCTTGTAGCTTAAATAACAAGTTATTATTTTTTGTATTCCTTGTTTTGACTGGGCTCAGCTGGGTGATACTTCTGTTCCCTGTGGTTTTGTTAGAGTCCTTTATAGGACTGACTTTGGCTGAGAGCTTTAGTGGTCTAGAACATCCAAGATGGCATCATTTACATGTGTGCTGCCTCGACTGAGCTAGCTGGAAAGACTGGCAGTGGGATAGGCCTTATTCTCCAACATACATACATACGTATGTATATATGTTTGATACATATATACATACATAGATGTGTGTGTATTTATTTTTTATAGTTATATTTCAAGGCTCCAAGATACTAAAGCAGATGCTGTCAGGAGTCTTAAGGGCTGGCATAACCGGCATACTGTCACTTGTTGATATCTTCTTGGTTAAAATGAGTCAAAAGGCTAGCCCAGATTCAATAGAAGGGAAAATGGACTCCACTTTTGGTAGGAGGAGCAGAATACAGACACTCCTGAACTTATGATGGGGCTACATCCCTATAAACCCATCATAAGTTGAAAACGTGGTAAGTTGAAAATGCTTTGAATACAGCTAACCTGTCAAACATCGTTGCTTAGCCTGGCCTACCTCAAAGATGCTCAGAACACTCACATTAGCCTACATTTGGTCAAATATCTAACACAAAGCCTATTTATAATAGTGTTGAGTATCTCATATTATTTACTGAATACTGCACTGAAAGTGAGTATACAAAATATGGTTTCTACTGAAGGCATATGACTTTTGCACCATCATAAAGTAAAAAAAAATTGTTTTAAGTCAAAGCATCATAAACCAGGGACCATCTGTATGTATAAAGAGGAATTGCTATTAGCCATCATTAAACTACCACAGTCTGCATCCTGGCCACAAGAATCCACATCCCTCCCTTGTACAAAATACTCTCACATTTCCTCCCAAAGTCTCATCTCTTTATAGAATCAGCTCAAAGTCCTGGATCTTGTCATCTAAATTAGGCCTAGACCTGGATGGGGGCTCCTAAATACATCTAGTCCTGATGTGAACACCTGTGAACTGAATGGAGAAGTGAATACCCCAACTCCAACAGCCAGCTTACCATGATGACACCAACAGGGATAGGAAAATTGCAACAGGCAAGCCCCATCAAAAGTGGTAGGGGTTGTAACGGAGGGCACTGAGAAATCACGGGTCTACAGAAATTCTGAAATCTGAGCATGTGTTATTAGGGGTAGAGAATGTTTCTCAATTATGGCCCAGTTCTGTGCTCACGAGTTAATCTACTGTCCGTAATTCTTTTCTCTGTCCTCTGATCCTGAGTCATCATGCTTCCCTTTCTTTAACAAAAGGTCTATGTTTATACTTCAGTAGCTTTCTCTGCCTGATTCTTGTGTGTGCTAAATTGGGCTCAGAAGCATTTCTTTTTTTCATTTTCAACTCTTTCTTTCCCTTCTACTTCAAGTTGGTAGGGCTGCTATCAGAAAAATTCTGTTTGAAGCAGAATTCTGTTGAGTATTTTCTATAAACCTAATTCAGGTTCATGTCATGCTTTAAAAGTCAGATCCATGATTCCTTGCAGACAGATCTCTCTCCACTTTGACAATGTCAGGCTTCCGAGAAGAATGTCTGTAAGCTTCTTTGCAGCCCCTTTGCCTGACTGAGAGCCTCTGTTAGTCACCACCTTAAATCTTTCTGAGGTCTTAACAAATGATCTTACAGTTGCATCCTTGATTCAATTTTGACCTTGAAGTCAAATGTTATAGATTGCACCCTAAATTTGATTTTTTTTTTCTCTCTGAGGTCATTCTTCCTTTTTTTGACCATCTGGAGAGATTGTTCTTGGCCTTCTGTATTGCTTCTAAGTTCTGCTCGAAAACTAAAGAATTTCTTTTTTTTTTTTTCTGAATTTTCTTATAATACCTTAGCATGCATGATTAAACTAGAGTAAATGACTTTCTTTTGGGAAATCTTCTTAGCTTCACAATTTCATTAGGTACATTTCCTGTCTTCCATATTATTGCTGGTGACAGTGTTACTAAAATTCTGCCATAAAACCATGCATGGGCTGTTCTTCCTCCATCACCCTACAGCAATTTCCTCATTGCTCTTCCAGCCTTTACTGAGTCTCCATGCAACTCTTCTGGCCTCTGTCTCCACCAGTTCCAAGGAAAAGGCCACATTTTGGCTCTTGGTATGCTAGCACCCTTCGAGTACCACTTGTTGTATCAATTATCTATTTCTGCAAAACAAACCATCCTAGAAATTATAGACCTTAAGCAACAATAATATACTATGTTCATGATTTTGTAGGTTGGCTGGTCTCAGCCAGGTTGTTCTTCCGTTCCATGTATTGTTGACTAGGGGCATCCACGTAGGTACATTCATCCAGGAGCTTCACAAGGAGCTGGAATGTCCAAAGTGGCTATACACATGACTGTTGCTTCAGCTATGTGACTAGAGTAGCTGACAGCTGACTGGGCCTTCTCTCCAGCAAGGTAGTATGGCTTTTTACATGATGACTCAGGGCTCTAAGTGGAAGCTGGAACTGTCAATCCTCCTAAACGCTAGGCCTGAAGTAGCAAAGTGTCACATCTTCTGTGTTCTATTTATCAAATTAAGCCACAGGTCAGCCCAGATTCAAAGGGAGAAGAAAGAGAATTCACATTTAAATGGGAGAAGGGGCAGGAGTATATAGCAAAAGAAAGAAATGTTAACAGCTGTGTTAAAGGAAACTCTACCACCACAATTATAGATTGTGATAATTGCTTTAAAGGAAATAAAATAGAGTAATGAGATAGAAGGAAATTAGAGGACACCAATTTAGATAGAATGGACAGGGACTGTCTCTCTGAGTGGGAAGGATGGGAATAAATTGGTCACATAAAGGGAGAAGAAGAGCTTTGGAGCACAAAGAACAAACAAATAAAGTGGCCTTGAGAGAAATTTTGGGAAGACAAGATTTAACTATGAATAGAGTTGTGATAGTGGAGAATAAATGGTAGAAACAGAATTAGGATTTACATATGGGACAAAATTAATGGTATTGATGAAAATGTATATAAGGATTGAGGGGGACAGGAGTATCAGAGATAATACTCAGTTTTCTGTTTTAAGGAAGTATATTAATGAGGTCTCATTTACTAGGATAGAAAATGTTGCTTGCTTTCCTTCTTTGATTTTTGTTTGTTTGCCTTTGAGTTGAGAAGGGGAACACAAGATCATGAGTTCACTTTTGAGAATGTTGAGCTTGAGGGGCCTTCATAACACTAGGTTAAAAATATCCAGGAGGCAATTAGTTGTGTAAATATGAAGCCACAGAGAATGTCTAAGAGAAGATGTAAATTTTTGCAGGCATCGGAGTATAGATGAAAGTAACAAAATTTTAGATAGATACTTTCCACATTTTTCACCATTAAAAAAAATTTGTTCATTATCTTGGCAAGTACATACAACAACGCATGTTAGATCATAAAAGTGCAACAGTGGTAAAACACGTCACACATCTATTGATTTCCTCTCTGTCTCAATTGGATTATAATAATTAGCTTTTAATCCCTAGTTTTAGTACTCTTTGTTTTTACTGTTTTCTAACAAAAGATTTAAATAGTGCACAGATTGCTAGAAAGATGGACACACTGATGCTACTTAAACGGAATTCTTGGCTGTCAGTAACATCATAGAGTGCTTCAAACTGCTATCGGTTATTCCATACATGAGGGCCCAAATTTATGGTGAATTGAACATGTCATAATGCAAAAGTAGAGTGCTCAACTACACAGTGCCAGAAGATGGAGGCGATGCTACATACAATCCTACGTAAGATCAAAATGTCATTTCAAAATCTGGCTGACTTATTTAGTGAATGATATTTGGGTAACCGATGAATCATTTGAGAAAAGTAAAGAAGTTAATTCTCTACACATCAGGCAAAAGCAATTCCATGGATCTTAAACACTAAAAGAATGAGCTGACTGGAGTGCATGCAAATCAAACACTTCTGTATGAAAATAAAAGCACGAAAAAAATTAAAAGGTGAAGTTGGAAGAAAAACATGTATAACATATAACAGGAAATGGCTAGTAACAACATATATTGAGTAGAAAAGTCAATAAAGCAACAGGTAATCCACTTAATAGGAGAGGATGAAAGAAAGAAAGAAAGAGAAATTTCAAAGAGAAAAGCCAACAGTCAAAACATAGAAAATTAGTCAATCTTACCAAATTGAAAATTACAAAATTAAAATATAAGAAATCATTTTGTGTACCTAAGCTATACTTAAAATCCTTCTGTACTAAATATGTATTTCCTAGTGCTTGACAAAATATTTGACTTAGGCTCTGCTAGTGGAAAGATAGACTGCACAGAACAACAACAGCATCAAGAACAATCATTTCTGTATTGATTTGAACTTCACATTTCTAATTCTGAGAATTAACAGAATAATAATTATAAAGTGCACCAGGCTTTTGCATAAGATTATAGTCATGTATGATAATAACGTGTAGAGTAACCTAAATGCCAAATGATAATCACTTAAATCATATTAGTACCTATGCAGAAAAACATCTGACAAGATATATTCCAAAATATTTGCAGAGATTAGCTTGGTCAAAGATTTCTTTTCTTTTTTGTTTTGTTTATGATCAATACCTACTTTTTCTATAAATATTGTGAAGGTAATTTTCTTGCATTAAAAATATTCACACGTATTTTAAGTATTAATTTAGAACCCATGAGCCATACAGATATACTTACTCTCCCAGGAAAACAATTTCAGTGTTGATCTCTCCTGACTTGTCGCGGAGGAAATTCCTCAGGAAAGCGGTCACACTGTCCACAGTGATGTTTCCACAGACCACAATAAACCTAGGCAGCAAAAACAGGTGAGGTGGATCATCCGAGGCACATAAGCACCTTCCTGTCAGCATTTAGAGATAAATAATTGGCTTAAACTTAGTTTCCAATAAATATGGTATTTGCATCACCCAGATTTTTTTTTTTTTTTTTTTTTTTTTTGAGATGGAGTTTTGCTCTTGCTGCCCAGGCTGGAGTGCAATGGTGTGATCTCAGCTCACTGCAACATCTGCCTCCTGGGTTTAAATGATTCTCCTGCCTCAGCCTCCCAAGTAGCTGGGATTAAAGGCATGCGCCACCACGCCCAGCTAATTTTGTATTTTTTTAGTAGATGGGATTTCTCCATGTTGGTCAGGCTGGTCTTGAACTCCCGACCTCAGGTGATCCGCCCACCTCAGCCTCCCAAAATGCTGGGATTACAGGCACGAGCCACTGTGCCTGGCCTGCATCACCCAGATTTTAAACATTGAAACACTAAGGACTGCATTTCTAATACAAAAGAAGCATCAGATATCCACAGTCTTCTATCTCATCTCAAGTAGAATATGAAGCCAAACATTTAAATTGCACCCAGCTTTTTAAGAGTACAAGAGCAACTATTACTATTGCTAGATTTTTCACATTTATTTATAACTTATAATAGATTTTTAACTTATTTTTTCACTTAATTCCTAGTTGTCTGAGAGAGGGTTTTTTGTTGTTGTTGTTGTTGTTGTTTGTTTTTTTCTTGAGGAGCAGAAAAGTTCATCAATTTTTCCATTTCTCACCCAAATATCATGGCTGAGAAAGCACCACATTCCAGATTGTTTCAGCTTATCTTCCACATTTACGAATATCTAGTAGTTACAAAAACATGAGCCCAGTGGAGGGACATTGAAGACAGGTGCAGAACTCTATGCATATAGTTTTTGTCATGAAAAATTTTCTTACGTTTAACGCATTTAAAGGAGCTATTTTCCTCCTATTAGCCATTGAAGAAAACTGAAAACATAATTTTAGCCTAAGTTAACATTAAAGTTCCCAGACCTATTGACTGATTTAGTATGTGCCCCATAGGCCTTTCCTGAGACAAATGAGGCCAGATTTTGGCTTATCTAGTTAAATTCACTGCTTCTCATTATTTATCTTTTGTTCATTTCATCATATTTTTCCTTTCCTCTTCATAGTCCCAGGTCAATTAAAGTTTTCATCCAACTGTATTAAGAGACTGCTTTCAGGGAGCCTATCTCCATTATGCCTCTTTCATTACAGCAGACAGGGATTAAGTTTTTAAAAGGATCACATCTAATTTAAGATCTCCATTTCATTCTTTTTGTCTTAGATGGGAAAAAAAAACCTAATGGAAGCTAAGGTAACATGAATCCAAGAAGAAATAATATAAAAACAACTCCACTCCATTTTCCTCCTGGGAACACATGGCTGTGGCAAGGAAAAAAAATCAGTCATCTAGGAGGCGCTATAGAAGACAGGGTAGAAACTTCTCATGCTGGCAAATCCTCATCCGTAAATGAGCCCCCGATGGTTTAGGGGAGCTTTGGCTAAGACAACTGAACTAAATTATTTTAAATTGGAATCATGGCTTTAATCCGATCCATTATGTAAAGTTAGCCATAAGTTACCCATACAAGGAAAATGAGTAAGACAATTGGTAATGGCTATAGGAGAAGTTAGTGGAAAGGAATGTACAAATAGTGCCATAATCAGTAATATTTATTGACAGTGAATTACAACATTATCTGTCATTTTAGTTGATTTAGTTTTCTTATGAGCATCTATGTAGTGGTTTGGGTCAAGTAGCAAATATCATTTTCTTACGGTATTTAGTTTAGCACAGTCCTTTTTAGTGAATACGGGATGTTGCTGATATATTCACCTTGGGTTCTACAGCTAAGCCAGACAATAGATGTCTAGAACGAGATATATGGCTAATAGAATTTCTTAAACTGTAGAAATTATACTTAAAACACTACTTACTTCTTTCCTTTGAGTGCTTCATAGGAACTGGTGTATTTCCTCTTGTTAGCAAACAGTTCCACCATTTCAGGTATATAGTTCGCAAATAATATCTAAAATTGATCAGCAAAATAAAACCTTAGTTCTCATTATTTTGATGGATACTCCAAAAATTTCAAGATTAGAAAGGAAAAGGAGGGTACATAAAACTTTCTGTCATCTAAGAGCACATGATAGCATGTTAAAGGGACCTCGTTTTTCTTCCTTATTTCAGCCTTTGAATTTTGTTAAAATTTAATATAAGGCTTTTCTGTATTCAAAATGATGAAAGCAAAGGACAGCAGCAAGGTGATTTCCCCACATGTCTTATCCTTTCATCACTTTTGTTTTTGTTTTTGTTTTTGAGACAGAGTCTCTGTCTGTCTCCCGGGCTGGGGTGCAACCTCTGCCTCCAGGTTCAAGGGATTCTCCTGCCTCAGCCTCCCAAGTGGCTGGGACTACAGGTGCCTGCCACCATGCCTGACTGATTTTTATATTTTTAGTAGAGATGGAATGCCTCCATGTTGGCCAGGCTGGTCTCGAACTCCTGACCTCAGGTAATCCGCCTGCCTTGGCCTCACAAAATGCTGGGATTGCAGGCCTGAGCAACTGTGCCTGGCCCTCTTTTTATCGCTTCTAACTTCCCGTCTCACTCTGACTTTATTCTATTTGGGGCTTGGAAAAATGAAAGCATATGGGACAGAGGAGGGTTAAGAGACAATGACTGAAAAAAAGGGATGTGAGACCGTGGATGGGTAGATATCAAAAAAGTGGAGTGGAGAACTCTGTTGTGGTTTTTAAGGAATTGAAATGAAAGTCACTAAAAGAAAAGAAGGCTTTTGCCTTTGCTACATTCGTAAGCCAGGCACAGATGTTCATATCTCTAAAGTTAAATGCTGTTTTAGTGAAAGGTTACTCATTTGAGCTGGGAGGAATGGAATTTTCTTCAGATCAAATCTCAAATATCCTTCCTCTTTAGAAGAAAGACTTTAAGTTGATGGGCAAACTATGAAGGAAGATAGGTTTTCTCAAATCAATGTAGAGCTTAATAAGGAAAGTCTGCTTCCTTTGCCTACTATCCTTCATCCCTGGAAACCAAGCAATTTTATCCTGAGCTCCAGGGGATGCAGTTTGGAAAACATGGGATCTGTGCATGTTTTCATTTGCCCTTGACATGTGCCCCAAGTAATGCAACATTCACTCTTAAACCTATATTGTTTCATTGATTACCATTAACCAAATATTTCTGGTTTATGTAGCTATATTCAAAATATATTAAAAATATTCTTCACCAAACTCCCCAGTGTGAAGAACATGATGAAGGTCCGTCCTAAGGATGTCTTGGCTACCACATCTCCAAATCCAACGGTTGACGTTGTTGCCATGACCAGGTAAATTGACTCAAAATATGATATATTCTGTGAATTTCTACCTTTGAGCCAGGGATCACCAGAATTTTCCACCTGTCCAAAGAGAGAAGACTCAGGAAACATCTGAATAGAATCCAAGAGAAGATTTTTAAAGAATAGGCAAAACATTAGATTAATTGCACTTCATTCAATCCAAATGAAATACCAAATGGCTTTCAGGTTGCTATGAAGAGTTTACATAAATGGAAGAGTTTGTAAATCATGGGTAGTGAGTGTAAAGTCTTGGTTTCCTTAATCGTGATCATTGCCGAAATCTGAGGGGGCTTGTAGCTGCAGCACAGCATTTGAAAAGCTCCACCGGGGACAGATGCCTCTGGGCTCTCTTTTCAAGTGGGCACAAGCATTGCATCCTGGAGCCAGGGTACTCCAAAGGCCTCAGACTGAGCAATTATGACATATTCTCACTTTTTAACTAGATTAGGATTATCATTAAGGAAAGAAGCACTTAAATGAGCACTTCATTTCAGTGAGCTTAAGCACATAGAATGCTAGTGTCTACAGAAAAACAAACCAATTTTCCAAGTTATTTTCCTCTTTGCACAATCGTCTTTTCAGTGATTTTTTTTTTAAAAAAACCTTTAAAAATATTTTCCTCTGATTTTTTCTTTGAGTCTTCACCTTTCAAGAAAACTAGATTTATCAGATTTTTAATATTAGATAAATGAGGTAACTTAGACATTTATATCATATATAAATTTTTTATAAATATATGTAAAATATTGTGTAACATAATATATTATATATAACATACATTTATACATGTATAGTTTATAATAAAATATTTATTTCTTTGTTTTTTCTTTTAGACCTTTTTTTCTCCTCAGCTCACATATTTTCTAGATGTTTTCCATTTCTATTTAGCACAAAAGATGATAAAATCTTAGAGATGTCTGACTGGGGGAAGTGGGCTTTTTGTTTTGTTTTTAAGAACTAGGATGGAAATTAGAAACCATGCAGTTTGCTCAGATATTTGTTCCCTTTTTAAAAGTGATGTGCCAAGTGCTGATCCTTTCTTAAATTTAATGAATAGGTTAAGAGTGTGGACCCCTATAATACTCCACTCCAAAGTAAGAATGGGATTATATGTCTGTTCTTAAGTCTTATGGCTGATAGCGGATACTGTTGCAAAGTCACTGACTTCTGGAGTCTTCACTGTTTTCCAAGACATACATTACAAGAAAACCAAATTTAAGTCACACAGATTTAAATCATTCATATTTACTGGCACGGTTCCCTTTAAGCTAAAATCCCATAGTGTCTTTTACAATGTTGTAGTACAGGGATTCAATATTATCCCTGCACAACATGTACAAAGTAAAACTAAATTTATTTTAAACTGGAGATATCCTTTATAATTTTTTAAAGAACGCTTTAAAATTTAACTCACTGCCCTTATGAGTAATAATTTGGTGTTTCAAATCCCTTTCCACTTTCTCAGTATCTCTTTAGTTTATGGAGGAAGGGAGATGGCAGCCTTCTGTGGGTCCACTTATTCACACTGTTCTTCCTCTTAACCATGTTACATTGACCCATCAGTCCAAGGTGGGAAATATAGTTAAGGTAAAGTATTATGGACTAATGTTAACAGACTGAATCATTATCTATTTTAACTCCATATTTCAAAACTGAATTCTTATTATTTTAAACTTTGTTTCAACTTTAGATAAGATACACTAAGAAGAAAAATATGAGGACACTCTATCTTCTCCCCTTACCTGTCCATCAACATTTATATTAGCTATATTACTTTTATTTGTGCATCTACATTCTAGTCTGTAGTGATAATTACCTTGGTTATGTCTTAGCTCTATTTTTTATCCATTCAGTAATCATTACCACTACTTTTTTTTTTTTTTTTTTTGAGAGGAGTCTTGCTCTGTCACTCAGGCTGGAGTGCAGTGGTATGATCTCAGCCCACTGCAACCTCCACCTCCTGGGCTCAAGCAATTCTCTTGCCTCAGCCTCCTGAGTAGCTGGGATTGCAGGTGCCTGCCACCACACCTGACTAATTTTTCTATTTTTAGTAGAGACAGGTTTTCCCCATGTCGGCTAGGCTGGTCTCGAACTCCCAACCTCGGGAGATCCGCCCCTCCTTGGCCTCCCAAAGTGCTGGGATTACAGGCATGAGCCAAGGGGCCTGACCAAAATATCAGAGTTTTTTTGTTGTTTGTTTTTTGAGATGGATTCTCACTCTGTCACCCAGGCTGGAGTGCAGTGACATGATCTCAGCTCACTGCAACCTCTGCCTCTCGGATTCAAGTGATTCTCCTGCCTCAGCCTCTAGAGTAGCTGGGATTACAGGTGCATGCCACCATGCCCAGCTAATTTTTTTATATTTTTAGTAGAGATGAGGTTTCATTAGCCAGGCTGGTCTCGAACTCCTGCCCTCCAGTGATGCACCTGGCTCAGCCTCCCAAGTAGCTGGGTTTATAGGCACCTGCCATCATGCTCGACTAATTTTTCTATTTTTAGTAGAGATGAGGTTTCGCCATGTTGGCCAGGCTGGTCTCGAACCCCTGACCTCCAATGATGTGCCTCCCCTGGCCTCCCAAAGTGCTGAGATTAAAAGCGTGAGCCACCGTGCCCAGCCACTACCACTACTTCTTACCATGGCTTCCCCATTCTTGAATTCTCTTTACATTAATCTCCTGTGTGGCTGAATTTTATCATTAAGCTATTAATACAGATTCAAAAGAAGCTCACTGGTGCATTTCCCCTTGCATGCTTAAAATGACAGGACAGGTTACACTTTCTTTTATGCAAACTTTATGGACACTGCTGTATCATCTTCTGGTATTGACCAATGTTGTCAAGAAACTTGAAGCTAGTCTCATTGGTTCCCCCCTGTATAGACCCTGTTTTGTTCTGCTTGGATTATCTTTTTTATCCCAGGACGTCCGTAACTGCTCCAATATATGATTAGAATTAATAATTTTGAATTATGTTTCATGGAATACAGTCTATCCTTTAATCTACAGGTTCAACACCTTGTTTTAAAACATCTTTCTGGTGCCATTTATTGTGCTATTTTCTGTAATACCCTAATGATATTTACAGTAGGTTGAATCAATATTGTCCTTTCATGTTTCTTCTTTACAAACATTTGAGTATCTTTATTTTCCATGTCAAGATTTTTGCTCCAGTCCTGTCCACCATGTTTCTGAATGTGATTTTGTCAAATTTGTTACATTTTGCTTCCCTCTAATTTGGTTTTCAGGTCTGTAATACACTTCTTCTTATTTTTCTCTGATATCTTTTGGCCCACTTTCAATTACTTCTATTGTTTAATAATCCCTTGGTTCAAACCGTATAAATATTCTATGAAGGATCATTTCCAGTTTTTCTAAAATCTTATTTTTATTTTTTAAATATAAAGGACATTTTTTCTTAACTTTTCCTTTGTTCCCTTGGGCAAATTATCTTAATTGTTGCTCTCATAACTGTTTTATTTTGTAACTTCTATAATGCTAATGTTTCTCTGCTTTCCAACACACCTTCTTGTTATTTTTAGCAGAATTTAGGCACAGGTGCCATATTGATTCCTTTCTAGTTAATACTCGTCTTTGAATGATATCATCATTTAGCTGAAGGATAGTGTGAGAATGGGAAGATGGTGAGTTAGGGCAACCATAGCTTTTATTTTGGCTTGTCTTTGCAAATATCCCCTCAATAAAATCTGCTATTTTCTTTTCTCTGGGATATAGCTTTTCTAGGTTTTTAATATTCTAGAAACTGGTATGGCTCAAAGTGGCACTGTCTAATTCACACGCCATCTGATTGTTTCTCCTTTTTTCTGTGCTTACTTCCTTGCTGGAGGTCTCCTTTCCTGGGAGACCAGATGTCCAGCAGGGAAACATGCTCACATCCTTAGAGGAGTGGAGCAAGACTATAATGATTTCAAGTAGGCCTGGCAGAGACTGTGTTAAACCCAAGAGCACCTGCTGTACATAGGGAGAAGCTATAGGGAGAAGCTACTTTTTTTTTTTTTTGAGATGGAGTCTTGCTCTGTCACCAGGCTGGAGTGCAGTGGTGCAATCTCAGCTCACTGCAACCTGTCCCTCCCAAGTTCAAGCAATTCTCCTGCCTCAGCCTTCCAAGTAGCTGGAACTACAGACGCATGCCACCACGTCTGGCTAATTTTTGTATTTTTAGTAGAGACAGGATTTCACCATGTTGGCCAGGATGGTCTTGATCTCTCGACCTCGTGATCCGAAGCTATTCTTCAGCTATGGCTGTTGGTGGCCTTGGGAGAGTGGGATTATTAGAACCTTATATTTTCCCAAAGAATTCAGAAATTCTGATTTTTATATGAGCTCTTCATAAAAGTCAGCGAGTGACAAAAAATAGCAAACAAAAAGTGAAAACATAATTAGGTCAAATATAGTAATATGCTTGTAGGCCACATTAAGCCTTTGAGCCCCTCATTGAAACAGCTATTAAAGGAAAAAGAAAAAAAAGTCCTAATGACTTTTCCTTTAGCATCCTGTGGTGGCCACGAGGTTTCTACAGGGACACTAATGTCTGCTTATCCCCTGGTGGGCCCAGGACTCTAAGGTTCAATTCTCTAAATCTAGGAATCAGCCTTTACTGCTGTGACACTTCAGGAAAATCTCTCTCCTTCCTGAGTGCTGAGGAGGATGTAGAGAGCTTCAGATTTCTTGAAGGTTCATATCCTTGTTTGCATTTGACATTTTTCTTGTTGAATTGAACAATGGTAACTTTTTAATGGATTTTTAAATTGTTATTGTTTTATATTAATTTTGAGAGAAGGGCTCAGATAAAAAAGACCTGTTATGCATTCTGTTTTGTTTATCTCAAAGGCTTTTGCGGGCTTTTAACATCTCCCATCAATTTCTGTATTTGCTAATGACTGCTCTTCAACTGTCCTCAAGAAGTAAAGTCCAGGAGTTCCTTTCCTATAGCTGAGATCCATTTCCTAGATTTCTCATTATGTGGGATAAGAACCAGACTTTCCTACAGGCAAAGGAGGCAGCTAGGTGTACAGATTGATTTCAGGAGGATCAAGAAAGCCCCCAAACTCCCCTTTGCAACAGTAAATCCTCCCTCATAAGTCTCCAGCATTTATAAGTCTGAAATCCTGTAACTGGCTTCATTTCCTTCACTTTTTAATCTTTTTTTAATGCTAGAACCCTTATAAGATATAGTGATACATTTTACCTATTGCTGATACCTTTGGAGCTTACTAGGTCTTTCCTTAAGAGTAGGTTTTGAAAGTTGGAAGAGGGAACAGAGACACCTTGATTGTAGGAGATGCATATTTGTGAGAATATGAGGGTAAAGAAAACCTGAAAATGGGAAGTAGAAAGACACACCTCCAACTGGCTTACAGTGATGGAGACAGGGGCTCAGCAGGTTCCCTTCCATTTTTCAAAAAATGGATGCTGGTAACAACAGACACCACTAGGGATTGTGATGAGATGCTTACCAGGTGAATGAATCCCGCAGCTGTGAACCAGGTACTGAGAATTATTGACAGCAGTTTGGAAAACTTCACTGAGTTACTAGAGGAAGAGAGACAAAGAGCTGTTGGGTCTAACAGATTCCAGAACAACACAAACACCTCATCCTCTAAGATGTTGCTACACAAAGTGTGGCTCATGGACCAGAAGGAACGGCATTACCCGAAAACATATTCGAAATGCAGCATCCCAGTCCCTGCCCCGATCTCCCAATCTGCATTGGTACAAGATTCTCTGCTTGATTCATATACACATTAGAGGTTGAGAAACACAGCTCTGAAACTCGCCCAGTCACATATACTTGTTTGGGAAGTTTGACTTTTGCTGCGATATCCACTAGCCTCATATCACTTTTTAAAATATCTACATGTGGATCATAGAGATTGTTATATTGTCCGATATAATAATATACAATTCATTATGCTAGGAATCCAAGGGGTAGAAATCCAGGGAGCAGATTTGCAAAATAAAATTCTGAACAGAACACAAAAATATAAAGTCACACAGACTGCTGGACTGATAACAAGGTCTTTAAGTGAAGAAAGATCAGAGGGGCCCTTGTCACCTAAGGAGAGCCCTAGAGCTTAGCTGAGATCTCTCTGGTTTTCAGGCAGGACCACCCGTCACACAGGACCAGGCTTTCCTCCTCCAGCTTCTCCATAATTCATAAACACGTAGCAGTGAAATCCACCTGGCCTCTAATATTTGATGCTTCTAGTTTGACTGTCAAGGCATGGAGATTTTGACTGGGTAACAGACCAAACTGCTCAAAATTTTACAAGTATTGCTGCTCAAAGCTAGTTTGGATTGTGTTCTTATTGTCTGGAAATACTTAGGTGGCTATATTTCTGCAAGCAATAGTTCACTGCTTGCTGCTGCTGGGTAATGTATGCTTCGAGGAATTGTCTTACATTCCAATGCCTGAAGAAGTGTTTCTTTTTTTTTTACCTAGCCAGGAGAGACATGAGTTACTAAAGCAAATATATAGAACCAATGCCTCTGAATTGCTTTGACTTTTTTTTTTTTTTTTGGTGGAGGGACCTAGAATTAAAACCTAAATAAACTTATACACCATAGCTTAAAAAACAAAGACTAAACCAGCTCTTTAAAATGATTGCAAAGTTTTCAGCTAGTGTAAGATGTAATATAATGGGAGAATGTGAACAAATAATATTTTGGCAGCTGAGAGATTTCATGATCTTTGCACTGAAATTCTGATAAGAAATGCATTGAGTTTAGGGTCCAGTTAATACATTCATTTTCTAATCCAAACTAATAAGTAAGCAGTACTTCGGTCAGGGCTATTTACCTGGTCTTGATGGCTCGTAGAATTTGCAAGATTTGAGGGAGTTCTAGCAGGCGCAAGGCTCTTAGGAACCTTAAACCTACAAACCAATGGAAAGGAGAAAGCTGCCAAAATCAGAGGGTCACTCCAGAGGGAGCCTACGTTATAACAGCATTGGAATCACTTACATTCTTTTTCTTCTAGACGTGTTCCAAATCTATTCTCATGTTATAGGCTTAACAGCATAAGCTGTAGTTCAAATACTAGCCCTGACGCTGTTGTAACCTAAGGCAATCCCCTCGCCTTCTCTAGTTCCTTATCTGTAAGATGGGAATGTAAAATGTAAAATGGTACTATTATAATAGTACCAACCTCACAGAGTTGTAGCATCCATATCAAGCATGTAGAAGCATGCCTCACATATTATGGGGACTATTCATTTTACTCTATTTAACTCTTCTTTAGAACGGAGAGCAAAATTTCCCTTAACTACTTAAACTCCTGACTATACAATCTCTATGATATGCTTCACAATGTTTGTATGATGTTTTACTTTAGGTGGTATGATAATAACATTAGCAAGGAATGGAATTCATATTTATTTTATAGATAATAAATCATACAATAAAATTACACGAAACTGATAAAAGCTACATAATGTCCATGCACTGTCAACACATTCACCTTAAAGACAAAACAACTAATTAAATAATTATCTAAAATGCCATAGCACATATGGAGATGATGATTAGCTTTTAATGACAAAGGGAGGTTTTTCATCTCCCCCAGCTCCTGTGGGATCCCAGCATAAAGGTGCTACCAGGGGAATGAGATATTGGAGTCTTGCCTCTCACATTACAAATGCAGTCAATTCTATCAACAACTATTGAACACCTACTGTGTGCCTGCTGCATTGCTAAGTGTTAAAGTCAAAAGGTTTCTGCAAGTGTATGACAAAACCATACTATTAAGGTGAGAGGTTTTTAAAATGACAGTCAGGCATTAAGAACAAATGAAAAATAGATACTTACAAATGAATGTTGAGTTTTTATTTTATTCATAGATATTGCTACCCGTTCCCAGAGCACACTTACCTAGCCAATTGCTCTTCAAATAATAAGAAATAAAGGTTGGTGGGATGGTAAAGATGTCTACGATTGAATTCATCTCCAGCCAGAACTTGATCTTGTCATCAGCTGCCATAAACTATGAAATAGAAACAGAATAACACAAATTCTGTTACCCTCAAGAATTTTAAGTGAACACTAGATAGCATTATTCAGCTGCATTTTACTTATCAGCTGAAGCCTTGATCTCCTTCTATTTTACATATACACAGACACATATATTTATATGCTATGTGGATGCTTTGGGAGGCCAAGGCAGGCAGATAGCTTGAGGTCAGGAGTTTGAGACCAGCCTGACCAATATGGCGAAACCCCATCTCTACCAAAAATATAAAGATTAGCTGCACGTGGTTGCAGCTGCCTGTAATCCCAGCTACCCAGGAGGCCGAAGCAGGAGAACCACTGGAACCTGGGAGGTAGAGGTTGCAGTGAGCCAAGAACGCTTCACTGTACTGCAGCCTAGGTGACAAAGCAAGACCATGTCTAAAAAAAATAAGATGTTTTTATATATAGCATGCCTATATATACATACATATATGTGTATATTTTATATACACACATTAGTCTCCCACAAACAAGAAATGAAGAGATTGAAATCTAGATCTAGAACAGGTCTTAATAAATACCTCTAAAGTGAGAGAAATATTTAACAAATGAGTGTAACAAAATGAAACAAAGATACAAAGTTATTTTCCACAGTTGTATTGCAGGCATGCCACCAGTGGAGCTAAGGACATCTCCAGAGACTTGCTACTCAAGTTCTGCTCGCTTGTCATTATTAGTAAAGATGGGAAGCCAGTAAGGAGGCCATGGGAACACGATGATGGCATTTAACAAAAGAATTACTTTCGTGTTGTGTTGGAACTTTTAACCTGGTTTAGCGTTTCACGTGCAGGAGAGAGAGTTTTTAGGGATCAGTATATATTTAACAAGTTAGGGCACAGATTAGCTATCTTTAGAGTTGAAAACTCGGGCAGATTGTAGGACTGAGACACAGTTAGTTCTCTGTATGTTGTGCCTGTGGTGTTTGGATATTCACTCCCACTTTCAATAGGTACTTACCCTCAATCCAAAATAGAAACTAAAGAAAGCATTGAAAACCAAATCAATAGGAATGGTTTTGTCTTCATATGATGAACAGCTTCCAACAGGGCTGGAAAAGAAAGAAGGACAGTTTGTGAAGATCAACATTTTTAAAGTGGTGTCTATATAAGACCAACTAAAGGGAAAGAATAGGAAAATTTTTCTTTATTCACCATGAATCCAGACACTTAAGTTAAGATCTCAAGGAAATTAACTTTTCTCTTGGGAGTAGAGGAATGCATGAACAAAACCAGTGGACTGCCAATAGCACTGGAAATAAGAGGAAAATTACCCATAATTTGTTTTGTAGGATGTATTGGTTCTATTTCCATTTTAACAATGGGGATTCAGAGCCAGAGAGATGATGAGGCTCTTCTTGGTTTGCAAGATCATCTATCTAGTCAGTATATTTTGAATTAATTCTCTTCTGATACAGAGATACTCTAGATCAAATGGATTGATCTGAACCAATTTCAAAGAAAATCTCCTAAAAGATCTCTTAGGAATTCACAATGCAAAGACAACCAGTTTCCCTAGGTTCTCTAAAGTTGCTTGGCTTTCTGTGGCCCTGCAATCCCAATTCCATTTTAGCTAGAAATCCAATATAATTCCCAAGTGATTGACATGGAATTCAGATTAGATTGGGCTTTGTCCAAAATAGCTGCCCTAACCCTGAAAAATAAGGAGGGGATGCTTTCAGAGGACAGCAGGCAACAATTTGCTTCTTTGTCACAGGTGAGGGCTGGCATTTTCCTTTCTCAATACCATCCGAAGTTGCTTGAAACCTATGAGAAACCCTGAAACTACGACAGCGTTTCTGCTCCAAATCTAAGGAAACCAAAGACATATAAAACCTTCATGAGTGGCCTAAGTGAGGGAAAGAAAGCTGAAGGCTGGTGTCCCAGAGACTCCAGAGTAAATCTCGGGTGGGGGTTGCAGACCACCCTGACCCCTAGCAGTGGAAAGTGGCAGGATACAAGGAAACTCTTGTATATTTTGCAGAGCTGGGCTTAGTGCTTACTGGGAGAAGCCAAACATATCACTTTTTATGAGTTTGTGTGTGTGCGTGCATGTGTGTGTGAAAGTATATTAAGCATTATTCCTGAGGAGAAAATTCCAAATTAGCCGAGCAATGTACTGATATAGCAGACAAGTGTGACTGGACATTGTACTCACTCAGCAGAATTGATGAAATAGATTATAAGAGACCCAATGCTTAGTACAAAGACAAGGATCACCTGAAAATGAAAAACAGGGACAAATGTCTAAATCCACTTCATTTGCATTAAATAAATCGACAAAAGTGTGTTTTCTCTTTTTACCATGCCTGTGTACGTGTAGCCATTTATTCACATATTCACTTATGTTAGTATTCATTCATTCATTCATCTGTTTATCGATTCAAGGTCCAACTTGATTGGACCTTTTCTGAGTATTAAAAAAATGAATATGTACCCATTTTACTTATCTAATTTTAACTTGCGCACACTTCAGAATACACAGTTTGTCCTTCCTGCTGCTTCTAGAGGCTTTTAATCTTTGATCTCAAGATGTCCTTTCCTGTGATCACTTATTCACTCATCAAACATCTATTAAGTGCTTAATAGGCTTTATGCAATTTATCACATGCTAGAAAAGAAGGGGTTATTGGAAATAGACCCTGGATTTGAATTGTTGGTTATATTATAGAAAAAATTCCAGACATGTGTTCCCTAAAGGATAGCCAGAATTTTCACAGTAGGGGAAATGCTACAAGTGAGAAGAAGGTGATTTTTTTTACCATGCCAGTGCCTCTGTAAAATAGGGTATCTCGGGGAATGCAATTGGAAACTGTCCATTAAAAGCCCTGGGGGTGTTTGGATAAAATCTTTGGCAGCTTTCATGATATTTGAGGTTAATTTTAGGTAATTTAACATTCCTCCAGTTATTTCTAGTTTCCAACCATCCAGCTTTTGAACATGTTCAGTCCAGTGTAATTCTAATAATGAAACTCTGGATTTCATTTAGGATTAAATCTTCTCTTTATTTTAGCTCAGATATTCCTTGAGTGGGCTACGTATATTGTGAAAGGACTCAGTTTCATCTCTATTAACCATTTCTAGGTTTTTATTCCTAGATTCTGCTGACTAGGCTACCTCTGACCTCTGCAGAATTGTAGCTCCATGTGGGGAGGGATCAGAAAGGGGAGATCAGAGAAGGAACTTGCTTCTCTGACTGGTGTTAGATCATGATGCTCACACCCTGCGGCTCTCTGGGCATGAAAGGTCTTTAATGTTTACTTTCATGGGTGGTCCCATTGTTCTTTGGAGATTCCAACTGAATTCATGTTCAAATTCCACAAACATTTCTCTAGCTCCTCTTGTGACCCAAGTACTCTTCTGTTCATCAGTGATCAATATACACAAAGATCCCTGCCCCCACATTGACATCACAGCCTGGATGACAAATGAAGATAATTAATATGCAAATCATCTGATATGTTAGAAGTGAAATACTTTGAAAATAAAACAAAGCAAAATAAAGGGGGAAAATGCCAGGGGAAGGGGAAGAGGAAAGACAATCTTTTTGATATTTAATGGCTAAGCATCCCATTTGCGGTTCCCTTGATTTCGGTGAAGCCTGTTCTCTCACGGCCACTCTTCTCTCACTACTTCTCACCCTCCTATTTTCTGCTGGAACTATTATCCTCCCAGATTCCCCATTCAGCTGGTTATAGAAGTCTCTCCCATGTGATTCACGTCTGGCACATGGAAACTCTTAAGGTTTCTTTGTTCCAACAAACACTGGAAGGGACAGATTATGTCCTGGGTGGCAACTCGTCTGACACAAAGCAGCTAGCCAACAATGAGCCACAAAGTAGCCACAGACCCGTCCTCTGTGCTCCCAAAGTTCCAAGGAAGGCAAACTGAGATTTCTGAGTGGTCCCTATTCAGCTTCCTGTCCTAAGTTTGAGATGAGAGGAAAGTACCCTGACATTTCTCCAACAGCAGAGCTCCTTCCAAAAACGCTCTTCTATTTCAAATTGACCCTAGTTTACAAGTGATTGGGTAAGAGGCTAGGAGCTTCAACTGGTTTTCTTTCAAGAGCTTTGTAAGTGGTAGTGTTGGGGTCTCAGCTCTTATCGTAAGTTCCTTTTTTTTTTTTTTTTTTTTTTTTGAGACGGAGTTTCGCTCTTTTCCCCAGGCTGCAGTGCAGTGGCGCAATCTCGGCTCACTGCAACCTCCGCCTTCCGGTTTCAAGCAATTCTCCTGCCTCAGTCTCCGGAGTAGCTGGGATTACAGGCACTCGCCACTATACCTGGCTAATTTTTGTATTTTTAGTAGAGACGGGATTTCACAATGTTGGACAGCCTGGTCCTAAACTCCTGGCCTCAAGCGATCTGCCCGCCTTGACCTCTCAAGTGCTGGGATTACAGGTGTGAGCCACGGCACTTGGCCCTGTAAGTTCCATTTTAAAAATCTAGGTTAAGTGTTGATGAAGATAGTACTAAGTTTGACGGTTTCATGCAGATATTCAGTTGCAACTGTGGTCTGAAGCTCAGAAAAGTTGTTGGGAGTGGAGATATATATATGTGTGTGTATATATACACACATATATACATTTAATAGCAGCATATTGATAATTATTAATAATTTTAAGGAAATCCTTTTGCTTTTCTTTACATATGATTATGTACATTTTTTCTCTTATGAAATCCCATAAAAGGTTCAAGTAAAAATCAAATATTGACAGATTTCTGGAAAGATGATGGCATATATTACTTACGTTTACAACCCCCCCAACCCATGGAAATGAACAGAAACATGTAAGTACATTTAAAAAGAAAAAAAAAAGATAGAAACAAAGAATTGAATACCACAAACCCAAAGATTATTACCCAGAAATCATAGGAAACCAACAGCAAAATGTATATTAAAACCAAAAGAAGGCACTGGGAGCTGACAGATTTGTGGACACTAACGAGAGGAAAGATCACCTGGTGCCCATCAAGCAGACCATCCAAATTCAAAACTCCTTAACTGAGGAATTTACAACTAATCAGACTTTCCTATTATCTAAAGCAGGCATCTGGTTCTATGTTTCTTTCCCCCAAATTTATAAGTAACTAGAATTTCTATACATCTCTGGATTGCATGCATGTAGAAACTCATTGCGCAACCCTTGTTGACATCAAGGCACCACAATGTCTACAAATGTAATCATTTATGATGACCCATGTGGCTAATATGGTTCAAATTTCCCTTAAGCTCCTGCTTTAAGGTCCAGAAACACCCCTAAGGAAAAATCCATCTCAACATACTCAGTCCTGTTTTGCTGAAGCACCTTGCTGCACACTCAGTCCTGTTTTGTTGAAGCACATTGGTGCACACTCAGTCCTGTTTTGCTGAAGCACGTTGCTGAACTCTACTGCAGTTTTCTTTCCTTCCAATAACACTTTCCTTTTTCAAACCTATACTGTTGTCAGTCATTCTTACCAACTCGCAAGATGACTACTTTCTGATGCCAGGGCTCTGACTGACACTGTTCAGTGAGTCGGGTAGGAATGAAAGATAATTCTGAGAAGAGCTGTACATTTTTCATTGGGTTGGAGGAGCAAAATCTGGAAGAGCTGGCTGTTCAGAGACAGGTAGAAAGCCCTTTACCTGAGCCATGGAGGCCATGGATTGGAGATGGGGCCACCCAGCCAAATAGTGGCCGAGAGGAGACACCCTGAGGCTGAGCACTCTCAGAGGAGGAACCTCTTGGCTAGTGACAACAGCTCTTTTTCTAGGAAGCACATCAGAAAGAAGTCAAAGAAAAATTAACTGAAAGAGTGGAGACCTCATCCAGACAGAGCCTTGTTTGTAGAGTTGCTGGCCCCAGCCTTATTCCCCAAGCTTATCTTTATGAGAAAACACATAGAAACCTGGGACTTTGATTTTCACAATGGGATCTAAAAAAACCTGTTTAGTTACAGGATAGTTGTGGGGGGTCTTCAGATAAGAAACAAAATCCAATGCAGTTTAAAAGGGGCACCAGGAGTACTCTAAACCTTGGGCATATTAACATACCATGGATAAGTGCCTGTTTTATGAGAAGTATAGGAAAACAGGAGGATCAGGCAAAGAAAGTATATGGAATGACTTTCATGAAAGAGTTAACACAGAATCTGTTACGATTCAGCATTTTAAAGTTACAATTAGAGTTTCTAGTGAGATTTGAGAGGATATTATACTGATAAAATAAATGCAGCCTACAATCAGAAGGAATGATAAGAAAGTGAGAGAAGTCTTAGGGCAGGAGGGAATGTGATTGACAAAATTAATGTCTCAATAGAGGTACTGAATAGCAGAATGGATACTGATGAAAGTGAACTAGAATAAAGGAATTCTCCAAAACCACCAAGCAAAAACCTGAGATAAAAATTATAATTAAAAGTGCAAGGGCTGGGCGCGGTGACTAATGCCTGTAATCCCAGCAATTTGGGAGGCCGAGGCAGGAGGATCCCCTGAGGTCAGGGGTTCAAGAGAAGCCTGACCAAATGGTGAAACCCCATCTCTACTAAAAATACAAAAAAAAAAAAATAGCCAAGTGTGGTGGCGTGTGCCTGTAGTCCCAGCTACTCAGAAGGCTGAGACAGGAGAATTGATTGAACCCGGGAGGCAGAGGTTGCAGAGAGCCGAGATTGCACCACTGCACTCCAGCCTGGATGACAGCAGAGTGATACTCCATCAAAAAAAAAAATGGCAGGGAGGTTAAATGCAAGGGAAACAACTATAATGGGCATTCTAAAAGGATAAGACAAACACTTCTACCCTGCCCCCCCTCCCAAAAAAAGAATAGCTAAATAAAAAAGCAAAAGATGATTCCCTGAACTGAAAACTAACCTGAGTCTAGATCGAAAAGGCCCACCAAGACTTGTCAGGGAGGAAACATTGAAAGAAGACACACACACAGCCATATCATGGCGAAATTTCAGATTTTGAAGATACGCTATACCTTTCTATATTGGAAAATATAAAAACATGGGTTATCTGCAAACTAAAGAGAGTAAGACTGACTTTGTAATTCTCCTTTCTAATCTGTATCAGTCAGGATGGGGAAGGGAAAGCAGAAGTCACACCAGTCATTTTAAGAGAATTGAATTTTAAAAATTTATTAAGCAGGATTGGAGGATCAGAAAGGCAGAAAGAGGAACACGGGCATAACTAACTGTGAGCTTCTGCACCCCGGTGCCTGGGGGATCAATAAAAAAGAGGTTGGAATTCTCAAAATTTAGTAGTTTAAAAGAGGTGCTCTTTGGAGTTGGGATTCAGACTGTCGACGATAAGAGTCAAATTCTGTAAAATATTTGACGAGATTTATTCTGAGCCAAATATGAGTGACCATGGCCCGTGACACAGCCCTCAGGGGATCCTGAGAACATGTGCCCAAGGTGGTCAGAGTGCAGCTTGGTTTTACACATTTTAGGGAGGCATGAGACAGCAATCAAATACATTTAAGAAATACATTGCTTTAGTCCAGAAAGGCAGGACTCAAAGCAGTGGTGGGGAGCTTCCAGGATATAGGTAAATTTAAACATTTTCTGGTTGACAATTGGTTGAGTTTGTCTGGAGACCTGGGATTGATAGAAAGGAAATGTTCAGGTTAAGGTAAAAGACTGTGGAGACCAAGGTTCTTCTGAAGTCTTATGATGGCTGCCCTCAGAGACAATAGATGACAAATGTCTCCTATTCAGATCTTTAAAATGTGCTGGACTCTTAGTTAAGTTCTTCAGGATTGGGAAGGCCTGGAAGAAAAAGATCTAGCTATGTTAATAGAGATTCTTTACAGATGCAAATATTCCCCCACAAAGGACAGCTTTGCAGGGCCATTTCAAAATATGGCAAATAAACATGTTTTGGGGTAAAATATTTTGACTTTCTTCTTCTGGCATAATGTTATGCCATTCAGATTGGAAAGTAACTCACAATATATAGGGTTAAATAAAACCCATCTGATGAGAATTTATGGTTTGTAGGGCATGACTCCCCACATCCCTTAGATAGGAATTTGGGCAAGATAAAATAATCAGAGCTTAGTCCTCAAGACCTAAGAGGAAGGAGTCCAGCACGGATGGTAATTGTGCCTCTGCAGAGACACTGTGAGCTGCTTGTGGCAGTGTTGGAAGAAAAAAAAATGGAAACAAGAACCAAGTACAACAACTGGACTAAAAATCTGTTGAGTAGGTGGGACTGAAAGGAACAGACACGAAACACAGAAGCAACAAACGGTTCCCTTTTCTGACCTCTAGGCTTCATGCCTCGTCTTGTACTCCCTATTGGCAGTCTAGGAGCAGGCTTACAGAAGAGACACACTTGCTGAGTTCTGGCCCCGCCTCACAAAACAGAGGAGAGAGGCTACATTGGGAGCTGCTAGACAATAGCTTAGTACCTGGCATGTGGCCCTCAGTGCTAGAAAACACTGGAGCAGCTTTTACAGAGTTTTAGGAAAAACAGATTGCAAGCCAAGAATTCTAAACTCAACCACATTGTTGTTTACTTGTAAGAGCAAGAAAAAAACTTTTTTGGACACTCAAAGATTCAGAAAGTATACTACCCACACTTCCCCATGGCAAATGAATATGGGCACTTCTTTAAAAAAAAAAAAAGAAGAAACATTCAGAAAGAAATAGTGTGTTATGTAAGAAAAACTGGTACATAATAAAACTGATAAAATTAGGTTTCAATGTAATTTTAAACTTTAAAGCGAATATTAAGAAGAAATCATGCTAGATGTATAATGCTACCAGAACTCCCGTGCAATTATTCTCATACAAAAGGAGCATATAGACATAACAAACACACAAAGATACACAGAGAAATATAGGGCAGACAGTTTGTTCTGTATTTGATTTACATAATCCCTATAATAGTCTATTAAAATTAAATTATCCACATTAGAGGATGCCAAAAAATAAATTAAAGTAATAAAAAAAAAAGTAGAAATGTAAATATCAGCCAGTGGTCAGTGCTTACTCTGCCTTGAGTGGTTTACATGTATTATGATAGAATTCTCCTTGCAACACTCTAATGGGTGTTATTATAGCCTCCTTTATATTCATATTATGTGAATGAATTCCAATTTAGAAAAATTAACTCACTCAAGATTACATACTAGGAAGTGGAGGCGCGAGTGTTTGAACCGAAATCTCCTGAAATTCACAATCACCATGTAGTTCTGCCTCTCTGGTGAGGTAGGAAATTCAGACCCTAGCAGAGCTCCTAGTGTGTGTCCAATACCTGTTCTCTCTTTCTTGCTAACAGATCTCCCATTTGTTTGTTTAAGCCACTAATATTTAGATATTCTATTATGCAGTATATTTAATCTCCAAATATTATAATATAAATACCAATAAAATAGATCACCATAAAGGAAAATGATTACATTCTCCTGGCAAATTAAAAAATAAATGTATTTTTAATACAACACAAGAACAAAAATCCAGCTATATGACACTTCCAAGAGACATACTTAAGAAGAAATAAGAAAGAAAGATTGAAAGAGAGCTGGGCAAAGATATCCTAGTCCAGTAGGAATACAATGAAAACAGGAGGATCAATGTTACATGCTAATATTGCATTCTAAAATATTCCAGCAAAAGCAAAACAAAGCCAAAAACAATACAAAATTTGGCAAAGATGGATATTTCATATTGATGAAAGGCACTGTCAACCAAGAAGATACAATAGGTGACTTTGTATATCAGTGGATATCGTATAAGAATATATCTTTCAAAGTCTGCTGGAAATACATGACAGTCAATAAAACTAAAAAATTATAAATGAAGCTGTCTGACATGTCCCTTTCAATCATTCAGCAAATAATTAAGGATATGGAAAACACATATAACATAATTAGTATTGCTTATACATCAAATAGACAGTCTTTCAAAATACCATTACATGGTAGTAAAAATTGATCATGTACTAGGCAACAAAGAATTTCTCCATAAATTCCGTGAAGTAGAAATCATAAAAGCTTTGACATTCTTGGACCATAAATTTCTACCAAAGTAGAAAAGATAGCCACTCTATCCCCAATCGAAAACCCCTCAATTCGAGGAAAGTGAAAGCATACAACATTTCTCTAAATAGATAATGTATCAAACAAGAAACCAAAATTAAAATTTAAACAACTGAAAAGATGAATTATGCATCAATAAAAATAAGAGCATTACTTGCAGAGTCTCTGAGATATAGCCAAAGAAGTACTCAGAGGAAAAATTCGGATACAATTAATTTCAACTCAAGAAGCTGGAAAATTTGGCCAGCCCAGATAGCTGTTTCCATGGTGAAGGCTGTGCAAGATGGTGGGACCTAGCCTGGGCTTGTGGTGCTGTCCTGTGCCTCTGGGCTAAGTTGAGGGAGATGATGAAACTCTGGTCCTGAATACAGGGATACCCAGACTGACAACAAATATTACCCCAAGCCCAAGGCCAAGCTGATCCAGAGGGCAAAGGATGAGCTGGATCTCAGAAAGACACTCATCAAAGCTGCCCCAGCCAAGAACACAAGTTCTGTGTTGGAAGATCCAGTGGTCCAGTGAATTCATCAACTTGATGTTGGAAGAAGGAAGTCAAGTACAGCCAGATCCTTCAGGACACAGACTCAGGGAACTATGGACAGGAGAAGTTTGGAAAGTACCACACTGCTTCTGCAAAGGAAGGGGCAAGTGTCCAGCCCAACCCCCACATCACCTTCCACCAACCACTGAGGAACTTTCCTGGGGTGCCAGCCTGGGATGGATCAGGTACACACCATCCAGGCGGCCATTTCTACCAAGTCCCTGTGCCCCTCGTTGACCAGCCACTTCCTGGCCTTGAAGGGGATGATTACTGACAGCCTGGACAAGGCATGGATGTGGATGCCAGATGTGAGGGGGGTTACTGCTAGAGCTGCTGGGTATCTGCAATCAGGGTCAGTGATTAAGAGAAAGTGCCAAGTGCATGAGACATCCAAGACTAGTCACTGCTGGTGACAGAGGCAGATAGAGGCTCCAGGGGGAAGGAGCCCAGGCCCGTCTGCCAAAGCTAACAGTGTGAGCCACTGCCACTGAAAACACCTGTCCTGAGGATGTTCTTTTTAAAGGGCAAGCTTCACAAGAACCATTGAGCAATGTGTTTATTACCCATTAATCCTTTTTTGCCCTGTGGGGTAGAATTAGCTCTCCCTGCCCCATCTCCTTGCAAAGAGGAAACGTGGATTTAGGGATTCCTCCCAAGAAATTTAGAGCCCAACTAGGCTTCTCTTTCTTCAGCTTGGGGTGGACTTTCATTTCTTATGTTTTTGTTTTGTTTTGTTTTGTTTTTGTTTTTGTTGAGACAGTTTTGCTCTGTTGCCCAGGCTGGAGTGGGTGGTGCAATCTCAGCTCCCTGCAGCCTCAGCCTCCTGGGCTCAGGCAATCCTCCCACCTCAGCCTCTCAATTAAATAGCTGGGACCACAGGTGTGTGTCACCATGCCTGGGTAATTATATTTTTATTTTTTGTACAAATGAGGTCTCACTATGTTGCCAGGCTGGTCTCAAACTCCTGGACTCAAGTGATTCTACTGCCTCAGGCTCCCAAAGTCATGGGATTATAGGAATGAACCACCATGCCTGGCCAGGATGGACTTTTGGATGGTAAGAGGAAGCAGTCTGGGTACCAGAAAAAGTTTATGAGAAAATGCTCATCCTGAACTGGTTGTGTAGCATGTGATATGTTCATATAACTGACTAGAGGGGGAGAAAAGGAAAATTAAGATAAATTGGAAAAAAAATACTAAAATTAAGAAGGCTAAGGAAGATATTAATTATACATATGTGTATGTGTATAAATTGTACTCACACACTGAGTTATATATATATTTATGTATGTAGAATTAATGAATAAAGCTACTTTTTCATGAGACTAATGAAACATATACATCTCCAAAAAAGCTAAATGAGATCAAAAGGTAGGAACATGACCCATGAGGAAAGGGGAAGAAAGGTGCAAATTAGAGAAAAAGAGGCATACCAAAAAAAAAAGGTTCTTTCTAATCAAAGCTGGAATTTAATCTGTGGGGCCATCAAGGAGACAAAGTTGTCTTCTCCCTGTTGGCTCCTCTTCTTTGGAAAATGACCTGTGACTTGCTTTCATTTAAAACAAAGGTGACTATATTATTTATTGTCCTAACATATAGACCTTTTTTTTTTTTTTTTTTTTTTGAGAGACAGAGTCTCGCTCTGTCACCCAGGCTGGAGTGCAGTGGCATAATCTCAGCTCATTGCAACCTCTGCCGCCCAGGTTCAAGTGATTCTCCTGCCTCAGCCTCCTGAGTAGCTGGGATTACAGGCGAGCACCACCATGCCTGGCCAATTTTTGCATATTTAGTAGAGACGGGGTTTCACCATGTTGGTCAGGCTTGTCTCAAACTCCTGACCTCATGATCCACCTGCCTCGGCCTCCCAAAGTGCTGGGATTACAGGCGTGAGCCACTATGCCTGACCATATATAGACGTTTAAGAATAAAAGAGGCTCTATTAACAATTACACTAGGACAACTAGCAGAAATCTGTGTTTATGATCATCCTAGTTACAACATAAAATGTCATGTTGATTAGTAATTACTGCTTAATGCCCCTAACAAATATTGTTTCCAATAATAAACAAGCGGAAAAATTGGAGAGCACATTTGAAATCTCAAGATAGGTGCAAGAAACCAAAAAGGAATCTAAATTTCTTGACATCTGCCTCAAAATATTATTTTATATATTTTTTTCTGGATTGAATTGTCATTATAATTTTCATTAAACAACATTATAAGCTGATCATTACAAAACATGAAAAGTAAAATTTTATAAAAAATTCATCCATGAGATGGATTTTTCTTTTTATTTATTTATTTTTATTTTATTTTATTTTTTATTATTATACTTTAAGTTCTAGGGTACATGTGCACAACGTGCAGGTTTGTTACATATATATACATGTGCCACGTTGGTGTGTGGTACCCATTAACTCATCATTTACATTAGGTATATCTCCTAATGCTATCCCTCCCCCCTCCCCCTATCCCACAACAGGCCCCTGTGTGTGATGTCCCCCTTCCTGTGTCCAAGTGTTCTTATTTTTCAGTTCCCACCTATGAGTGAGAACATGCGATGTTTGGTTTTTTGTCCTTGTGATAGTTTGCTGAGAATTATGGTTTCCAGCTTCATCCATGTCCCTACAAAGTACATGAACTCATCATTTTTTATGGCTGCATAGTATTCCATGATGTATATGTGCCACATTTGGGTTTTTCAAATTAATGTAGGTATTTATAGATATCACTTATTGTTAGAATGAGACAGGGTTCAACATCAATATTAGTCATGGTTTACGTTTATAGATATAAGTCCTGAGATATTTTGTTTATACAAATATTAATAACAATACCTATATATACTTATTATATGCAGAACCTATATATATTTTACACTTATTAACTCGTGTAATAATGACAACACTATAATAATGATTATAATGTTAACACATTCTTATATTTTAGCTCATTTATTGAAATCTATAGACAGCATTTTTCATCCCCACTTTATAAATTTTACATTGTATTTCTATGAGATATGTGTCAGTTTCCTCATTTAAAAAGCAGGTAATGATAGTGCCTCTCTTGAAAAACGGATTGTGAAATGGTAGTGGGGGAAAGGAAAACGAGCATGTGGAGTTCGCAGCTTCATCAATGTTAGGAAGTAGAACCTAGGAAAGTTGGAGAACTGTTCCACCTGCTGACCCTTCAGAAACCTGTTGACATCCTTCCCTTTCTCGCAGGGTCTATCCCTATTTGAAGACAGGATCTATGGACTAACTTGAATTCAGATCTAATTTTACCTCCACTGGCTTCACGAGCCATACACTTTATTACTCTCCACAAAGAAGTGCCACAGAAGTAACACATTATTTCAAAATTTTTATTTATAGATACAATTATGGGAGGAGAAGAGTATCCTAAGTGGCCTGAACACCTAAATAAAATAAATCTGACAATGTTGCTGAGAACTTGCAGAGCTTTGAAGGAAGAAACTCATGGCAGTAGGTACTTGCTTCTGGGGATAGGGGTAAGGAAGGAATTTAGTTTTTACTTTGTACTTTTAAAATACTGTATCATGTGCATGAAAATATAAACAATAATATCCGTAAATGATCAGTGTAGAAAAAAACATAAACAAGGTAATCATCTGCAAAAAATTTTCTAGGAAGATAGTGTAGTGTTTCCTGACAGTGTTTTCTTTATTTGTAGGATAACGATCTCTAAACTGTATTCTCATGCTACATACCAAAATAAATTCTTGATGCTTGATGGTATATTCAATATAAAATATGGAATAAGGAAAGGAAGTGGAAAAAAACAAAGATACAGCTCATCTCAAGGTGGTGGAAAAGGTTTATTTTCACATAAACAATGCATATAAAATATGAAGAGACTGATCTTTTCCAATATGTTTTATGTTTTTCTCATTTTTTTTCCGAGAGGTTGCATTACATTAGGAAAATGAGCAAAAAACAGCAAAATAAGTAATTTAGTCATTCCAGGCACCGTTTTTGAAATATTCTTTCCCATTTCCAAATGAATTATGATGCTTTATTTGTGCACTTAGTTCTTCTGTATACTAAGGTTGAAAACTGTTGTTGTTGCTAGGGGCTTAATTTATCTACAGAGAGGATTACACATTCACAGAAAAGGTTATGCATTTACAGAAAGGATTTAAGGCAGAATACAAAAACACAAAATGCTAGATTACCTGAAGAAAAAAGAAGCCAGAGAAGCCAGAAAAACAGAATGTGAACATACAGTAGTGCTTAGGATGATGTTAAAAATAGATACATTTGCTAAAAATAAGCCATAATTTTGGTTTTACATTTTCTAGCCACAAAGCAATAGAGAAACACAGTCAGTTATGTAATTAACAACCACACAAAATCTCAAAAAGAAATAAGATAATTGCTTGAGAATAGAACCATATTTGGAACTAAATTTAGAAGAAAATTTTTTTCCGCAGGTAGTTGATATAACACACCTAACCCATAGATGCACTAAACATCAAACCCATAGATGCTACAGAGTTGATCAATACCTTGTCATATTCTATTAATATTAACAACATAGGAAGACCTCTAGAGGACATGCTTTTTTGAAGGGAATCTTTTTATTTGACTGTTGGAGTTCCCTTCTCACGTTCCTACTTCCTCTTTTCCTCTTTCTCCTTTTTCCTTTTTTTTTTTTTCCATCTTCCTATTTTCCTCTTCCTCCTTATTCCTTTTCTTTGTCTTCTATTGAGTGGTTGCCCATGTATTCTCCCTCAAAGTATTAAGGGCATTAGTTTGTAGGGTATATAAAAAGTTGCTATTTGGGGGGATTTTCATATAAGTACTGTGTCTTCATTGGAAAAGAAAATGTAATGCTTTCTTTTCCATGACCTGGAGCTGTTTAATTAGCATTAGAGATATCTATTCCTTGAGGGTTTTGTAGACTGGTCCTTGAAATCATCCAAGTCTCTCATCGAAGGGGCAAAAAGGGAGGGTGGTGAAGATGATTATGGGTCTTTGACAACTTTGTTTTATCCAGATATTTGGTCTGTTTAAATTTCTCCTTTTATGGATAGTTTTGGTAATTCATATTATCATAAGAAATCATCCAGTTTTCAAAATTAATTACATATATATTTTCAATTTCCTTTTTATCTATACTTATTTTCTCATTTAAATGTCTTATTTCATATAGTTGTACTTTTTCCTTTTTTTTTCCTTTTTTATAGACTAGCTATTTATTTCTCTATTTCATTGTTTGAAGTAATCGGCTGTTTTATAATTCATTAATTTCTAACTATCTTTTAAATTTATTCTGCTTAGATTTAATGTTTTTATTCTCTAACTTTTTGCATTTGATACTTAGTTCACTAATTTTAATTATTTTTCATTTATCAAAATAACTTTTTAATGTTTTACATATCTTGAGGTTATATTTTTGGTGCAGTGATGTTAATGATGTTATATCTTCTTTGTGGTTTGTTACATTTATCATTTCAAAGGTTATGGTTGAATTTTGTTGAATTTAAGCTTATGTGATATTAAAACTGTATTCCTAATTTCTACCATCATTTTCCTGGCTTACTTTTGACAGTTCCTTTATTTTCAGCCTTTAGTGCCTCTTGAACCTTAAAATATAATCAGACCATGTCAACTCATACTTTAAGATCTCAGACATCCCTTTACCTTAGAATAGAGTGATTCCCTTTGAGTCTTGTAGCTCTTCCCTATGAATCTTAAGACACTGTGCCATTTTCCAGTCTCTTCTCAGACCTCGCTGTCCCCTGCCCTCCATGTCCCTAGCATAGGAGCCTCCTTCTGGTACTTGCAGTAAACTCTTGTGGAGCTCTTTGCCTCCGCAATTCTATTCTCTCAATCTGGAACTCTATTTCCTTAATTCTTCAATTGCTTTATTCTTTGTTATCATGCTTTAGCTCAAATCTTACCTTTTTAGAGATTTTTTTCTCTCACCACTGTGATCTTACTCTGTAACAACCATACCTCACAAACACTTCACTCATATTTCCCTCATGGCATTCCTCATCTGAATTTATCTTATTTATGTATGTATGTAATTTTCGTATCTACCCCCACTAGAATTTAAGTTTCTTAAATGCAAGTCTCTTGCTTGAACTTTCCACTATACCTAGAGTGTTGGCCTAGCATGTACTTGGCAAACAATAAATATTTGTTGAAAGAAGTAAAAGAATTACAAAGGAAGGAAAGAAGGATAGAAGGAAGGAACTATAAGACATTTTAAGAGAACTTAAAACTGTACTTGGGATCTCTAAGAGACTCAGTTATGCCTTTCCATGCTAGAGTGTTTTTTTTTTTAGATGGGGTCTCTCTCTGTCGCCTAGGCTGGAGTGCAGTGGCATGATCACAACTCACTGCAGCACTGCAGCCTTGACCACCTGGGCTCAAGCGATCCTCCTATCGCAGCCTCCTGAGTAGGTGGGACCACAGGTGCAGGCCAACACGCTGAGTTAACTTTTAAATTATTTGTAGAGGTGAGGTCTTGCTATGCTGCTCAAGCTGGTCTTGATCTCCTAGGCTCAAGCGATTCTCCTGCCTCTGCCTCTCAAAGTGCTAGATTACAGGCATGAGCCACTGCACCCGGCCTAGAGCATTTATTCTAATCTAAGCTTTACTCCTTGCCTCCTGCTGTTCCAACTAGCTAATCACCAGCTGTTATAGGCTAAAATAATACAGTTTCCCTTCATTAAATAAGTCATTTTTATTGGTATGTAATTTTTCATCATTCCTTTCCCACCCACTTCCCATATGCAATGCTCATATGATGGATGTTGTAAGTTCCCTTCTCCCTCACCCTAGTGACCTTTAATATATTATTCCCAAAGTTTCTCACACAAACATGACTTGAACATTTGAAGAGATCCTAACCAACAAATCCCTGATATCATCAGAGAGAATTACAAAATCCTTCTTCAATGGGTCATACCCACAGAGATTTCAGGAAAAGAGATCAAAAACTTCGGAAGACAGAAAAAGGAGAGGCACATTTCCAGATGATTCAACATTCCCTGCAGCTTTTATGAAAGCAGTTTTACTTAATACTTCCAACCAAGCTTTAGTAATTTATTAGATCAGAATTAAACAGTAACTGGAAAAGAGCCATGTTTTTGCTAGTTATAAAAAACAGAGGATAATCTTTAGCTCACATGAAACTACTTCCACCATAAGACCAACTGATGGCAGCATACCCCTAATTACAAATTTCATCTTTTCATATTTTAGATCAAACTACACTACTGAAAGGAGGATCAGGGCAATCTTCATTTATAGGGCATCTGCTATTTCCTGACAATGGGAAATAAACATTTCCATGACATAGTCTAGACAGGAGCTCACTGTACTCTGGGAGAGACAAGCATGTGCACAGATAATTTTAATAGCAATGCTCAACGATTATTAAAGAAGCTAGAGGAGGAACTCTTAGCCTAATAAAGAGGTAAGGTTAGGATGCCCCGAGAAGATGATGCCCAAAGTGAGATTTAATACATTCAAATTACCGAGATTAAAATAGGAAGTAGAGTGATAAATATCATAGAGGGACACTAAAGGCTAGTTTGCATAATGAAATAAAGAGTCTATTGAAATCAAAGGAGAGGAAACTAGCTATACATTTCAGGTCTGATTAGTTTACTAAACATTTTTTGAAAATATCTATGTGCACACCCATCTGCATATATAAGGAGAACCAAACGCTCACAAATATTGCCCTAACAAAGCTTTCTTCCTAGTGGAAAGACTGAAAATAAATATAAAATATGATTATAATACATAATTAGTAATTATATAATTATAAATATATAATTAGTCAATATATATTACTATTTATAAATATATAATTATATAATTAGTAATTAACTATAATTAGTAAGAATATAATTACTAATAATTATATAATATTCTATACAATTACATATTATTACGGATAATGTATTATACATTATTAATAATATAACATTATTAACAACATATCATATGATTTATATTAATATTATAAAATTATTATAATAATATAATCTAATTATTAGTAATCGTATTCATTCCAGAGATAAACAAAGCAAGATAACGGGTAAAGAGTGGTAGACACAAGGAGATGGGGATGGGGAGGTGGTGATATTATAGATAAGACGACCAAAGGAACGTCAGTTGTTTACCTAGGGAATCAATTGATTTGTGCTGACTATAATCACACCTATGGCTAAAGTTTGTTAGCAAGCTAACACTGAAAATGTACTTACCAACACTTGCCCCACAAAGGTCTGGGCTGAAAGCAACATTTCTATATGATCACGAAATTGTCCCTGGAAGTGGAGGCTTCTTACATGGCTCCTAGCGATGGTACCTGATGTGAACAGTTCCTACAATCAAGAGAAAGAAATTGACAATGTGAGCTGGATCTGAGAGAAAGAAATCTGTTCTACTTACGTTGATGGAGCCTCTTGTGATGGTATCAGTCGAAAATCACTCCACCTTGTCCAAACCAGGGAACCCTGAAGTTGCTTATTCAATATTTCATAAAACGGATTTTACTGGGTTTGCATTTTCCTGGTTTTCTGCACAGCTTTTTTTCTACTGAATTCTGCAGTCTTCCTCCATGTCTTTCTCATGTATACCCGGTCCCAGACCCTTCAAACTGCCATCATTGCAATGATCAGAATTGGGAGCATCATGCCTCCTTCTGCTCTGGGTATAAGTGTAGCAGTTTTCATCAAGATACGTGGACAAAGAGAAAAAGATTACAAATTGATTTTTTAGCTGATTACTTAAGTGTCCGCATTTTGTGAGAGAAGGGGGAAGTTTTCAGCAATTTTGTGTTGCTCTTAGTTTTTTGCCTGGTGTTATATTCTGAAATTATAATCCTTCCTCACATTTATAGAATGTCTTTACTTATTATATTTAAATGTTACGGTAATCTCATATGATAAAGTTAGGCATGACTAAATACATTTTATATTGATGTGGATACCAAGGTATAGAGAAATTAAATGACTTTCCTAATATCAGGCAATGAGGAAAGGCTGGGGCCTGAGCTGGCATTCATTGTTTGTTGATAATAGTCTAGAACCACCACAAAGAAATACACAAACCAACTAGGACTACCCACACCAAGCTAGATGAGTCCCTCTGACTTTCAAAAAAGCTCATTTTATATGAAGCCAGGATTTCAAAATCACTTAATTTTTCTACTCATATTTTCTGAATGATAAAAAGGGAAGTCTCATTAAAAAACTCTTTGATAAAAGTTCACATCCTGATCAATGATTTGCCCTCTAATAAACATGACTCATGTCGGTTTCTAAATGTTGTCTGAGAATTAATTTTAAAAAATCCTAGGTATGACATTAATATAGAATACTCATTTGAATTCCATCATAAAATTGGAGCTACCTTCTGTGGAAAAACAAATTGGTCCTAAGATATAATAAACTCATATTTATAGATGTAATACATGTTTTAAATGCACATTTAAGGAGAGAAATTGTAACTCTCCAAATAATTTTTAAAATAACTCTTCACAGTACACCTAGATTTCTGATTTTTTTTTTTTTTTGCATTTGTCCAACTTCTCCAAAGGCTTAGAGAAAAACAGGTCACTCTTAATTTGATGTAATAAAACAAATCATTGAAAAGTAACTCAACTTGATCAAACTCTTTCCTCAAGATTCAAAAGCAGAATGGTACAGCATTCTGGTTGCTCAGGCTCACTTCTTAACATTTTGTAACATTTGCTAAATATTTGTAATTAAAGGGTATACCTGGATCGAAGTGTAGACATAAATTACACCCAAAGTAAGAAATGAAAAATATAGGAAATTGACAAATGTACTGTCACATTTTTGTAATCACACAAAATGAACATAATGGAGAAGAAGAACATTGCCTGGAGCAGAAGACTAAGAAGATTTAAAAATCCTACAAATTCAGTTGTGCATTAACAACAACAAAACAAGGTAGAAACAAGGAGGCAGATCCATCATAGCTATTTACCCATATGTCAGTATCCCAGAATTCTTTCTCCAATTATTGTGCCACAGCTTAAAATCCATAATGTAGAAATAATCAATAGAATAAACTTGTTTAGGAACAAAATCTATAAGCTTCAGTATTGGATAATTTTCAAATATGGAAAACAAAATTCCATATTACCAATAACTTTAAAAACTTATCAATTTATGAATTATATTTTATGTAGGTTTTAGCACTAAAAGAAATGTTTTAAGCAAATTTTCAATATTATGATGCACAGGTGAAATGTGTTGTGTTATGGAAATTGCTATAATCTATCAGAGAAAGAAAGTTTGGGAAGCAAAATTGGAAACAAACTACACAGGGTATAGTAAAACTCTTCACCTTTGACCTCTGGTAATAGAACATCCATTACACAGCATTTGAGAGCTTTATTTCAAGCTCTTAAGCAATGCCTTATCTGTATAATACATCATTTATTCTCATCATCATCATTTGCCAGCTGTTATTCAACAACATCAACTCCTGCTAAGCTTGTTTGGGTATAAGAAATGTCCTTGCATCTATGCCTGGATGGCACAGGCATGTATGCATGGGCTTCTCTGTGTATGTGCAACTCAATGTGTTGTCTTCATATGGTATACAAAAGGCAATGTACACGTCAGTACATATGCATTATGCATGAACAATTTATGAAAGCAAGGTTGATGTTGATGTCTTGTTCCCTTTCACCTCCTTTCTATGACCTAGCACAATTGTCTTGTTAAAATTCGAGATAGAGGCATGGACATAATGTTTATGAACTTTTTTTCAGAACAGTGACCTCTGTTTCCAGAGCTAACATTAATCATTATCCATACAAGACATTGCTTTTTCCAGTGATGGGAGAGAGAAGAGGCTTGGCCCTGTCTCTTCAGGCCTCAGAATGTGGCCTGAGGTCTGGCTTACCACCCTTTCTGAGGCACCAGGCTATAGAAGCTGACTCTGTTAGCTTGAAAAACTGAATGAAGCTTAGATCTTTTACTAAACACAAAACTACCCCAAACTCATCTCTGACTTCACACAGAGGGATCCCTAACAAGGAAACTGACCAAGATAATTCCTGTTCCCTTGATGATTTGCCATTTTTTAACAGATCTCCAGATCAGCCTGAAGATCAACAGGATGATGAGTCCACTGAAGAAGGTCACAAAGGAAGAGAGAATGAATGCTGCTTGGATCTCAGTTGTGCAGGACATTTTTGGCAAGTCTTCCCAAGTTTCATTTCGTAGCTTAGTCTGAAACATGTTCGAGACATCAGTAGACGGAATTGCCAGGTCATTTGATGACGCCGTGGTCGCCTGGTAACAATTCCAGGAATCAGAGTTCACTGTACCACAGTGTTCCAACATTAGGCGTGATAACCAGTGAGAAGTTCCAGGAACAAGGGTCTGCCAATCCCCCGGTGCCAGCTCATGGGTTGTGAATGAATACACAACTGGAGATGGCTGGGGCCTACAATATGAATAGTCAAAAAAATCATAATTCTAGATCGGATTGTTACGACTTTCTCTATGCCTTGAAGAAATCCCATTATCTGTAGCAATGATCAGCTGGTTATCAGTTCAGTTAATGCAGTCAAATAATTTCAAATCAACTCTTTCGGAGTGAAACAACAGCCAACTATGTGTGTGAATGAGTTGGTTCTCTATCTGGGAGGATGCCACGTGCTTAGTAGGCTTGGAAGGACAGAAGAGAGAAGTACTTTAAAGTTTTTGTTTATCCTTTATACAAAGGAGCAGATATGCAGAATGAATAAGTCTAGAAGATCTAGTGTGCAGAACAAAGAACATAATTAATAAAATTATTTGTATTCAGGATTTTTGCTAAAAGAGTAGATTTTAAGGGCTCTTGTTACACGCACACAAAAGATGATTAACTCTGTGAGATGATAGATATATGAATTTGCTTGACTGTAGTCACTGCTTCACTATGCATAAGTTTATCAAAAGAGCATTTTGCGTTTGTACTTGTATGCGGAAGCTAAAACAGTGGATCTCATAAAGATAGAGAGTAGATTCATGGTTACGAGATGCCGGGAAGGGTGGCTGAGGAAAGAAGTTGGATAAAGAGAAGTTGATTAATGGGTACAAATATTTGGTTTGATAGAAGAAATAACATCTAATGTTCTATAGATCAGTGAAGTGACTATAGCTTATGATAATCTATTGTACATTTAAAAATAGCTAGAAGAGAAAAATTTGAATGTTTCTAGCACAAAGAAAATACAAATATGTAAGTTGATTGATATCCCAAGTACACAAATTATGTGAATGTATTAAATTATCACGTGACTTGAAAATATGTGTATCTGCTGTGCATCAATCCAAAGAATATCACGTTGTACTCCTTAATTACACACAATGAAAATCAAGATTATCTTGAAACAGAAAAAAAAAGGTTTTGTTTATTCTTTACATAAGAAAGGCATAGTATAGAGTGCAGGTATTGAAGAAGACAATTTAACTAGTGTGGTCATTGGTTGATTGTTATTTCAGCCCATAAATCCATTCCACTTATCTCTTCTTTATGGAACTCTCCCCTTTCTTGCTTTTATTACTGCCCTGGCAGCAAACCTTTTGGCCCAGCAGAGGTAAAGTTCAGAATGAGAGAAATTTCTTTGATTTTCCCTGATGTTTTCAAAGGTGTAAGAAATGTCATGCCTTTCAGTGTGCACAAGTGGCAGGCAAAATGTCAGAGCCCAGTGGAGGGCCTAGTTCACCCCAGTTATTACCAAGATAACCTGACACCAGGTGAAGAGGCCCAAGAGGAATCATCACGCTGTCCTTGGGAGCCCGCCATGACTCCACACTGTTTGGCAGGCTGTTTCAGAAGATAACTGTAGCATTTCCTAGGACTGCTGCCACAGTTACATTTCCTGCTTTTAAGCTTACCTATCATTTCTACAAAATCCTGTCATTGAGCTAGCTAATAACAAAGGGCGATGTTTAAAAGAACACTGGTCTAGGAGTTAGGAGCCCTGCGTTCCAGCCCAGTCCTTCTATTAAGTTACTGTGTGATTTCTAACAAGTCATTTTAATGTTCGTAGTCTTTTGATTTTATGTGGAAGATAATACCTACTTGATAGAATTATTGTGGGGATTCAAGAAGGTAGTGTGAACATATTTTGAAAAGCATAAAACTCAATATAAGATGCCATTAGCCATTTCAGTTCCTTTTTTGAATGGCATTAATTATAAAGACAGGAGGAGGAAGAAGTAAAGGAAAGGAGGGAGAGAAAGAAGGAAGGAGGGAGGCAGGGAGGGAGGTAGGGAGGGAGGTAGGGAGGGAGGAAGGAAGGAAGGAAGGAATGAACGGAGGGAGGGAGGGAGGAAGGAATGAGGGAAGGGAGGGAGGAAGGAAGGAAGGGAAGGAGGGAGGGAGAAATCACTTGTTTATCTCTTTCACATATGTGTGTGTGCGCACGCACACACACACACACGCGCGCACACACACACACACACACACTTACAGCTATGTGGACAAGATCAGACTTTCCAAGCCAAAATTCATCCACATCCTTTACTTAGTATTCTCCCTTTTATCTATCATTATCACTTTAATTTTCTTATTTTCTTCCCTTTTACTATTTACTGTTTGTTAGGATGGAGAAAAGAAACAGAGACAAGGGGAGGTCGCTCAACAGCAACACAGGTTTATTGGACAAAGACTTGCAGAAGGGGAACACCAGACAGCGCTGGAGCCCAAGCCCCGCTTACAGACTGGAGCAGTTGTAGGTCCCGACAGGAGAGGTGGGGCAGTATGGGTCGCTGCAGGGCAGGATGTGATAAAGGAAGAATTTCCTGCAGTCAGACGGTTAGGCCTGGGACCTGCCAGGATGTTTCTCATGGCCCGAGCCCCTCCAGGGGAATTTTCCACCCTAACCAGGGTGTGCAAAATGGCAGGGGTTTACAGGATGGCGCTGCTTGGGCTAACACTATTTTCAAAGTATTTCGATTCTGCTGTATTATGATGCATCCTGGGCACCTCTTCCCTTTTTGCAGATATTGCTTTATGAACACAAAAAGGATTCCATTCAATTCGAACAGGCAGGTAGTTTGTCCCTCTAATATGCTGTTATCACGATAATAATATTACTGTCTGCAAATGAGTAGAAAAATGTGCAGGTGGTTTCAAAATCAGTCTCTTCAAACCCATCTTGAACCTACAGTGACGAACAGTCCCTGTTCAGAACTGTCCCAGGTTCAAAACTGAAAGTCCAGTGACTGGAGAAACCGCCTAGTCCTGGCAAACCACAGAGACTGGTCACCTCCCATCCCACGACACATCATCTATGCTGCGCTCCAATCATACTGCCTCCTCTTAGCTATGAGGACATGCAAACCTTTTCCTGGTCCAGGCCCTTATAGCACAATGCCTCTGTTCCCTCTGCCCAGAGCACTCACTTCAATAGTGGCTGCTATTTTGTTGTCCTTCAGTTCTCCCTTGGTCTCTCTTACGGCTTTCTGACCCTTTCTTTTATAGCACTTCATGGTACTCAAGATTTGTTGTTATGTGATTTACTTGTTGCCTGGTTTATTTTCTATCTCCTTTCACAAGACTATAAGCTCCACAAGCACGGGATATCATTTCCGCTTTACTCATCACCGATTACTCTGTGTCTAGTATTGTACCTGGCACATACCTGGGAATGTGTAGACTTCGTAAATATTTGGCGATTGAATGAATACATTGCTGATCCTCAAAAATATTTGTTAGGTGAATGAAATACTGAATCTGCATGAACCTTAACCTAAGTTATCCAGATTTCTCTGCTCCATATTCTCCATCTTTGACGGCAAACTGTTCTTGTGATGAAAGCATCATCCATAGTGTGTAATGCATGGTTCATAGTGTGTGTGCATGTGTGTAAGTGTGTGTGTGTGTGTGTGTGTGTGTGTGTGTGTAGTGAAAAGGGCACCTGATTTGGATCAAGTGTCAAAGTGTCACCATCTTTGCAAATTTAAATTTGGTAATTATGGCCAGATGCGGTGGCTCACGTCTGTAATCCCAGCACTTTGGGAGGCCGAGGCAGGCAGATCACCTGAGGTCAGGAGTTTGAGACCAGCCTGGCCAACATGGTGAAACCCCCCTCCCTAATAAAAATACAAAAAAATTAGCCAGGTGGGGTGGTGGGTGCCTGTAATCCCAGCTACTCGGGAGGCTGAGGCAGGAGAAGCGCTTGAACCCGGGAGGTGGAGGTTGCAGTGAGCCGAGATCATGCCGCTGCACTCCAGCCTGGGTGACAGAGTGAGACTCCGTCTTAAAAAAAAAATGGTAATTATTCTCGGTTAGTGAGTTATTTGGTGATGGGTGGACATGTGACTAGGCAAAGCCCTTCGTAGCTTGGTAGCAGTTCAGTGTTCAGAACTTGGAAGGTAGGGAACTTTGAAGCAATGATACCCTTCACAGTAATTAAGATAGTACTCTCCTTGTACTTGATGGTTTGATAAGGATAAAAAACAGTAACTATTTTTTTGACTACCAGCTGCAAGCTAGAATCTTCGTCGTGTGTGTGTGTGTGTGTATGTATGTGTTTAACAATTACCTTATACCAAGGACTGGGAGCACCAGGGACACCAAAACAAATCTAGTTCATTCCCTCATAGAAGAGAGTCAACTGAGGAAGACATTTACAATAACAAACTGCAAAAAGTGTTTAGAAAATAAACTAATCTGGTGAGGATCGAGGGGGTCAGGAAAGCTACCTCAAATACGTCATGTTTGAAGCTGAGGTCTGTAGAATGAGAAGCTTCCCAGGCCAGGACAACAGAAGGGGTTAAGGAGGCTGGGGTAGAACATGATCAGGCTGAGAAGATATGTGGAAAGGAGAATGCACTTTCTTTCTTTCTTTTTTTTTTTTTTTGAGACAGAGTCTCGCTCTGTTGCCCAGGGTGGAGTGCAGTTGCGCGATCTCGGCTCACTGCAAACTCCGCCTCCCCGGTTCACGCCATTCTCCTGCCTCAGCCTCCCGAGTAGTTGGGACTACAGGCGCCCGCCACCACTCCTGTATTTTTAGTAGAGATGGGGTTTCACCGTGTTAGCCAGGATGTTCTCGATCACCTGACCTCGTGATCCGCCCGCCTCGGCCTCCCAAAGTGCTGAAGTGCATTAATCATCGGCCAGATGGAACACAGTGACCCAAAAGAAGGCTGGGCGTGTATAAAGGTGTTGCAGGACTTTTCCTTAGTTCGGCTAAAGACGGGGTCCTTGTCCGTCCCATGGCCGTGAAAATTTAGGCTCATAGACGGTTTGAATGGTGAGTAGGAGAGAGTAGTATTGATTGAAGAGGAAGAAAAGAGGCTCGAATCAGGGACTCTCGCAAGGCGAGCCCCTGCTAGAGCGCTTCCCGCCTGCAGCTTGAATCCCGGGTTCCACACAGGAAGAGGAGGGACCAGGCTCCTCCCTGCTCCAAAGGGCACGAACTTCTGTGTCTCCACCCCAGTGCGCATTTCTCCTAGTGCGCAGGCTCGTTGGAGGTTTTCCGGGGACCCTTTCCAACCTGGCTGTCTCAAAGGGAACCAGATTATGCAAGGCTTTGTGTTCCAGCTTAGGCTAAACCAAGAACAACTTTATCCTAAGGTCAAGAGGAAATATTTGATAGGTTCTAAAGAAGGGAGGTAAGTCATTGCATTTCGATTGTAAAAGCATCACACTGGTTTTCATGCAGAGACTGCTGGTCTCGATAGTGACAGGACGCTAGTCCTGATGGGATGGGGCTGGTGGGAAGAGACACAAGTGGGCAGGTGTGAGTGATGTCTGGGGAAAAATCAGCATTTGGGACATGAGGGCCAGGAAGCCTCAAAGGTGATCCTGGGTCTCTGAGTGATACCTCTGGGTAGTTCTGGGGGCTTTTCACTGCCATGCCTTTAATAGTAAATCTAAGAAGTGAAGACTGTGCTACGGAATCTTTTCTTTTTTTTTCCTTTTTTTTTAAGTTCAGATGAATTTTTTAACATGTCAGTGATTTGATTAGAAAAATTGCTTCACTTTGTACACATTTCTGTAATTTACCTCTGGGCACTCAAATATTCTGCAAAATTATACTTTATAATGGGATTGAATAAATGTTTAATTTTAAAAATTTATTCTCTTCAAGCAACATGCCATATCTGAGAAAGGAAAGTAAGAATTACATTTTTAAGTGTAGATAGCAGCACTCAGGAATGAGTGTGTGTGTGTGTGTGTGTGTGTGTGTGTGTATTTGCAATGCTTCTGGAAGTAATAAGTTATATTGTAATGTTGCCTTTTTAAGTGCCTAAATCCATCCATTGCACTTAATGCTATAACCCCACATTTCTCTATTTCTATAAGCAGAGCTTTTTTTTATATCCTCAGAGCACATTCATACCATTGGGAAATTGCACTGTTGAGAAATGCTAAGCCTCAGTCCTCAATTCATGCAGCCAGTCAATGGCAGAAGCAGGTCTGAAGTTGGGGATGGAAACGGCTGTAATGCCACAGAGCACTAGAGTCATGGTGAAAGCCCATTACAGCCAGCTGCTTCCAGGGAAATCTCTCCTTGCTGAGTTCTTATATCTCTCACTAAGGAAATTGACTTAAAGATTACAGCTTCACTTTCTCAAGGTGTGTACATGGAGTTATTTAAGTCACCAAGTCTTTACTTAGACCTCCTTAAGGATTCATTTTTGGTTTAACTCCTCTTTTTACATTTCACCAGTAGGGTACATAACATATTAATTACTTTCCGAGAAGCTTCTTTTTGAGGGAACCTTCCTTTTTTCTACAGAGTCTCGCTCTGTCAGGCAGGCTGGAGTGTAGTGGTGCGATCTCAGTTCACTAACCTCCCAGGTTCAAGTGATTCTCCTGCCTCAGCCTCCTGAGTAGCTGGGATTATAGGCACACACCACCACGCCCAGCTAATGAGGGAACATAATTCAATCCGTATTTTGTTTAGACCCATGACTTATTGAGACTTACCCTTTGAAAAAGGCACTGTGTTTTCTCTGCAGTCTGTTGTTCCCTGTTTATTCTAAATGGACAAACCGCAGGAAGATGTTTCACTGTGATATAAATGTTAACCCAATAGCAGGATGTCTGTGATGCTCTGTTGTGCATATGGATCTGCTTTTAGAAACTAACAACTCTCGAAAGAATATTACAAACAATATAATGCATTTAAAATCCATATGGAAACCCTGAGTTTTATTTGTATTTTTTGTTGAATTTGTTAATATACTTCTGAAATATAAGACTCAGAACAAATTTCTTATGCTCCCTGAAGCATAGTTTTCTCATCAATGTAGAGTCTGAACTGATCTCTGAGATCCCTTCTGGCATTGACATACTACCAATCTTTTATTCTATAATCTTAGATTATTTCTGTAACAGACTGTAAACACCTTACCATATTTCTAGAATCTGACCTCATTCTCCAAATGGACTCTTTTAAAAAATGAACACAAAGGAAGAAGCATCATTTCTGAATGGCTTTTTATTGAAGGCTTCCCCTTTAATAATGTAACTTGAAATCCAATTTGGTTTCTTTTTAGACCTCACGGAATTACTTTTCTTCATAGAGAGAATGTGGTTACCTTGGCCACTGTCTCTGATTTCATCTCTAACGCCACGGCCTTGTTCCCTATGTGGTCTGATTTGAAATATCCTGACTGGCTTGACAGAAAGATCATCTCTTACCGTTGCTCTCCCTAGTCTCTCAATTCCTTTTTTCTCACCAATTTGTTTTCTGCAGTACTGCAGATCTGTGCCTCATTTTAAGTGTTTGCAAAGTGCATTTGTATGTTCGTACCTATATCAAATACGTGGGCGTATGACCTGGGTCTATTGCTAAATACAAAGTAAAACATTTGTCAGTTTCTTTAATTTTTGGATTTGCGATTCCTAATTTTTTGTATTAAATACTTGAAGAGTGGTGTTCATAAATTGTGGTACAAATTCAACAACAAGAGTTAAAACATGAGTCTTCTCCATTCAGCCAGTAGATGGAAGTATTTCATAGGGAATTAGCAAGCAGAAGCTTTTGTTGTTTTGGGCCTTTTTTGGTGTTTTTTTTTTTTTTTGGTGGAGGGGGTGTTGTTTATTTTTTGTTTATTTATTTTTTAAAGAAGATAGAGGAATCTCTCTGGAAAAAAAGTGGAAAGGGGAAATGAATAAAAAAAAATAAAAGACTAAGAGAGGGGCACCCAATCCCATAACATGCAGGGCTTCCAAACTCATTCAGCCTCAGCAAAAACCTGTTTTCTGTTCAGGCTCTGTCTATTGTCTTCTGTGATTTTGTTCCTTTTGAGAGAACAGGAGGATAAATTAAACTGTCGATAACTATGGAGCTTTTTCTTTTTAATATAATCTCTATAGATCCTTGAGAGTCCTAAAAATCTTTTCATGAGAATGAATAATGCAATCAGTCTCCTCAGCAATCAGGCCAGCTGAGCATCAAGCTGGTGATTTTATTGGAATGCTTAATGTCCACCACAAAGCGGAGTGAAGGAGACAGCAGTGGAGGCTTACTGTTGGCAGTTCTGACCAGCAACTCTGGCCAAGCTTCTGATGCCAGCCCTTTGCCCATCCTCTCTACCTCTCCTGTTTGGAATTAGTGGTCTATCATTAAAAGACTAAAGCAAATCACCAAGCATTGGCCCAGTGACTGGTTGCATTATTTCCATGGGTGCTGTGTGAATGTGTTTCTGAAATCCTAATTACAATGAGCTGTGTATTTGTTTGAGTCCCAACTTGAGGCTTAGGTTAAAAAACAGTTGTCACCCCCCAACAGCATAGGAAATGAAAGCCATCTTTTCTGTATCAGATCTCGTTGAATTGCACGTTCATGCAAACACTCCTCTCCACAGCCTCCTGTCGCCTTGCGAGCTCTGGCAGGAGTTGAAAGGACTGGCCGTTAGGTCCACCTTTGGTTTGAAGACAGCCCAGTAGTTTTTCAGTTAAGAGAGAAACTAAAACACCATAGATAAAATAACTCTCATAATATAATTTATTGTAATTCACATATTTACAAGAAAATACAAACAAATGCTATAAGGTGCATGCATGAGGCAAATGAAATACCCTGGACTGATTAACATATTCTTTGTATTGTTATTATTATTATACTCTAAGTTTTAGGGTACATGTGCACAACGTGCAGGTTTGTTACATATGTATACGACGTGTGCCATGTTGGTGTGCTGCATCCATTAACTCGCAATTTACATTAGGTATATCTCCTAATGCTATCCCTCCCCACTCCCCCCAACCCCACAACAGGCCCCGGTGTGTGATGTTCCCCTTCCTGTGTCCATGTGTTCTCATTGTTCAATTCCCACCTATGAGTGAGAACATGCGGTGTTTGGTTTTTTGTCCTTGCGATAGTTTGCTGAGAATGATGGTTTCCAGCTTCATCCATGTCCCTACAAAGGACATGAACTCATCCTTTTTTATGGCTGCATAGTATTCCATGGTGTGTATGTGCCACATTTTCTTAACCCACTCTATCATTGTTGGACCTTTGGGTTGGTTCCAAGTCTTTGCTATTGTGAATAGTGCCTCAATAAACATGCTTGTGCATGTGTCTTTATAGCAGCATGATTTATAATCCTTTGGGTATATACCCAGTAATGGGATGGCTGGGTCAAATCGTATTTCTAGTTCTAGTTCCCTGAGGAATCGCCACACTGACTTCCACAATGGTTGAACTAGTTTACAGTCCCACCAACAGTGGAAAAGTGCTCCTATTTCTCCACATCCTCTCCAGCACCTGTTGTTTCCTGACTTTTTAATGATCGCCATTCTAACTGGTGTGAGATGGTATCTCATTGTGGTTTTAATTTGCATTTCTCTGATGGCCAGTGATGATGAGCATTTTTTCATGTGTCTGTTGGTTGCATAAATGTCTTCTTTTGAGAAGTGGCTGTTCATATCCTTCTAATTAAACTAAAGAGCTTTGCACAGCAAAAGAAACTACCGTCAGAGTGAACAGGCAACCTACAGAATGGGAGAAAATTTTTGCAATCTACGCATCTGACAAAGGGCTAATATCCAGAATCTACAAAGAACTCAAGCAAATTTACATGATTAACATATTCTTATGCAGAGCTTTACTTATTCACCCAGCTTTGTTCTTTCTCCCATCAAAGGGTAATGTTGCCTTCCTTATTGGTATTTCTGAGTTTCTTCATCAGTATTGTAATTTTAATTGCATTTGTCTAAAAGCTGCCTTTCTATGCAATGCCCTTCATGTGGAGCTGTTTGCATTAATACATGTATTTTCTTTTTTCAGCATGTCCTTGAAGTATGGGTCTTTGGAATATAAAATGCAAAAACTATATAGATAAGTATTGGGGTACAAGAGTCATTGAGCATTAAATCTGTTTAGCACTTAATCCTGTTCATTCTATTTAAAAAGGAGGAAACTGAGACCCAGGCAGAAGAATTTGTTCTTCAAACTGCGAAAGCAGAGCTACCCCAATTCATCCACACACATAGTATTTCAGAGAAAAAAAGAAAACCCTATGATGGCAAGCAGTCATAAGGATGAATGGTAAGCTTATTTGGCAAAACCTTTGATTTGGCAAATCCTCTGAGTTTTAAAATATCTTCTAATCTCATTTCTAACAAGCATTGAACTGATGGGAGAAAAGGGAGTACTACAGATGAGATAAAGATCAAATCCTTTGTGGCTAGGAGAGACAGTGAAAGGAGAAAGCACAGCAATTTGGTGGCAAGATTTTATTTGCTTGTCAAGGTAGCAACTCTCTATGGAATGGCCAACTCTGAGCAAGTGACCCCTTCCTCTCCGCATGCACGTATGCTGTGTCCCGCGCGCCCTGTGTCCAGTCCCTGATGAGCCAGTGTCATTGCAGTTCCTTCAAAGCAAAGGTCGCTCTTGGGAAATTTTGCCACCAGAGGGCAATACTGTCTAACTTTTGCTCTTAGGGAACTGCCAACACCCCCCCCACAACTTCCATCACTTCCACCCCCCTTTATAAGGAAAAGTTGTGTGGTTTTTTTTTTTCTTTTTCCCCCAGGGGTATGCCAAATAAACCCTTCAGAAATCACGTCTTTGCAGTCCCTGATCAGAATAGGGGGAAAGAAATGCAGTCCTGATTAACAATGAGATACAGGAGAGCCCTTGACGACTTTCCTGGCAATTACCTTGGTGCTCACCTCAATGAAACTGGAAGGACAAGTGTTCGGGGCTATGGATATGAATCTCATTAGTATAACTAGGCAGGGTGGTTGCGTGTAACACAGGTAACGTGTGAAAATCCAGAGAGGATTTAGGTTTGCAAAGTTCATCCTTGTCCTGGATCACCATCCTTGGATTAGTAAACTTAGTGAAAGAATTAAAAAATAAACTCGTTTATTGCATCTCCACTCAAAATGTCGTCCTGAGCATGGGCTTTTCTTGCAGGAAAGACCATGTTACAAGATGATCTCAGTCATAGGTTATCAAGGTCTAACACAGAAATCAAGACATAAGTGTGAGAGTCTTAACAATTTTCCCCATTTAATATGCCCATACAAAACAAAAACACAGAAAGGTAGAAGTTAATTAACTCATTTTCCCCAGAAAGATCATGGTGATGTTAGAAGGATCATCTAGGACTTTCTTCTTGGCTTTGTGAGTTCTCCCTAACCCCTTCTCCAGCTAGAAAATAAGCTTCTGGGAGCTCTTTTGGTTTCTGGAGTCTTCTTCTAAACCTGTCTGTCACACACTGGTTGTCATTTTCCCTCCCTGACCCATCTCATATCCTTCTCACTGCTGGGTAAGGTAACAGTTGGCAGTGGATATGTTCAGAGTCTAGTACCCGGCCTGACCACACAACACCCAGATAACCACATTGTTATCCTTCCCACCCAAGGTGAGCCTGGGGACAGTGGCTCCTAGGGAGGCAGAGCAGCCAGTTCTGCTTCTCTGTTTGCTGAGAGTTTCCAGTTTGAAAGACACACATCCCCCTTTAATGGACCATCTAATGGAAATCACCTGCTCCTCGAATAATCATTGAACAAATTGATAGCACACAGTAGCGAGGCTTCTGGGCTTCAATACTACCTGGCTGATTCCAGTAGATGGAATGAAAACAAACCAAACAAACCACTGTTCGTTGTTTAGAAGCTCGTTATTACAGGGGAATCACGGCCTCCGCAAATTGGAGCTCCTCTGCTGGAAAGGCAAGAGCGCCTGTGGCCAGGGGAAAAGTGCCCTGGATCCTCTAGGGAGGGCTTTGAGTCCTGGATTTGCTACTTATCAGATCTGGGAAAAAACAAAAAAACAAACAAAACCCTACAGAATCCATGGAGATAAAATACCTACCTTACCCTGAAGCCTTGTAGACAGTATGAGGTCAAGTTAGGTACTATGAGGAAAGCTCTTTCTCAATTTGAAGTATCAGGCCCTCAGTGTGACAGCACTCGGGCACCCAATACAGCAGTCCCGTCATCCACAGCTTCACTTTCTGTGGGTTTTAGCCACCCATGGTCAGCTGTAATCTGAAAATATTAAACATGAAATTTCAGAAATAAAAGATGTCTGCGTTTAAAATTGCACACCATTCTGAGTAGTGTGATAAAATTTTACATCATCCTGCTCTACCTCCATCAAGGACATGAATCCTTTTAACCAGAGGACCCACGCTGTCTCTACTCCCCGCCCACTAGTCACTTAGGAGCCCTCTTGGTTATTAAACCGACTGCGGTGGAATTGTAGTGCTTAGGTTCGAGTCGCCCTTATGATACAGGAGCTAAAAAGAAATTATTTAGGCAGATAGTGAGGGTAAGAGGGTCCTCGGTGGAATTTCCCTTTTAATAAAGAGCAGTCCCCAAATTATTTCTTTTCTCACAAAGAGCAGCCTGAAAAATGGAGCTGCAGACCTAAGCAAGCTGGAAGATTGCACAGGTGAGTGCCAGCAGCTGTGCCAATAGAAAAGGGCTACTTGAAAGCCAGGTATATTCAACATGGAGGCTCCATCTTCCCTTTATTTTTGTCGCCACGTGTACAGTAAAGAAGCAGGCAACATGGCATCGGCCAGGTAGAGAACCGGTCTGCATAATGACAGATTCGGCTGGGGCAGCCAGCCTCTTTGCACACTATGTAAATGGCACATCTGGTCCAAATAGTTCTTTGTTCCCTATGCAAATCAGACACCACTTCCTCAAGGTAGTCTATGAAACCCTGTTCATTTCACAAAGGAACTGGCAACTCATTTTCTCTGGGAACCCTCTCTGCAGTTAGAGAGCTTTTCTCTTTCTTTTGCCTATTGAACTTCTGCTCTGAACCTCACCCTGGTGTATCCAAATCCTAGTTTTCCATGGCCGTGGGACAAGGAACCTCAGGTATTACCCCAGATGAGTGACGCCACTTCATTTATTCATAATTGCCCCCAAATGCAACCTTAGTGATGCTGGCAATTCAGATCTGCCAAAGAGAAGCCATCAAGGGCTTTTTTTAAGTGAAAAGGTGAAAATTCTCCATAAGGAAAGAAAAGAAATTGTATGCTGAGGTTGCTAAGAGATATAGTAAGAGCAAATCTTCTATCTGTGAAATTGTGAACAAGATAGTGTTATAATTGTTCTATTTTGTTATTAGTTATTGTCGTTAATATCTTAGTGTGCCTAACTGATAACTTAAACTTGATTGTAGCTCTGCATGTGTAGGAAAAATCGTTGTACTATATGCACGTATTGGGTTTCAGGCATCCACTGAGAGTCTTGGAACATATGCCCTGTGGATAAAGGGGGACTACTGTAATAATAGCTGTTATTTATTGAGCACAGAGTTCTATATTAAACAGTTTTTGCAGACTGCCTCACTAAATCATCTCAACAGTAAGCACATAGTAGTGTGAAAGGAAAACAAATCTTGGGACCCCCAAATCACTAAGTTAAAGGGAAAAATCAAGCTGGCAACTGTTTGGGGCAAATCGGCCTCCCATTCTTTTCAAAGTCATCCCTCTGTTCACTGAGATAAATGTATATCTGATTACTTCCTTTGGAAAGGCTAATCAGAAATCAAAAGAATGCAACTTTTTGTGTCTTATTTACCTGTTACCTGGAAGCCTCCTCTCTGCATCCAGTTGTCCTGCCTTTCTGGACCAAATTAATGTACAGCTTCATATATTGATTGAGGTCTCCTGTCTCCCTAAAATGTATAAAACCAAGGTGTACCCCGGCCACCTTGGGCACATGTCGTCAGGACCTTCTGAGGCTGTGTGACAGACACGCGTCCTTAACTTTGGCAAAATAAACTTTCTAAATTGACTGGAGACCTGACTTAGATATTTGGGGTTCACCGTAGACATACATTGATCCACTTTAGAGATTAAAAATTTCAGGGGCAGAGACATTCATTGATTTGCCCATGGTCTCTGAGCCAATAAGTGGTGGTTTTGACTCACGGTTCAGTCTAGCAGGCTCCAAAATCTTTGCTCTATTAAGCTTTACAGGCAGATCTGTTGCAAGCTGCTGCCTGTATCTTGGACAGTGAAACCTTCAGCATCTGAGGCTGCTTCTCTGTAAAGAGGTTAAACCTCCTTCCTCTTTCTGGCCACATGGTTCATTACAAAGGGGCACTCCATGTTAATGAAGGATCTTTAATGGCTTTAGGTAACTCCTGATTGCCTCCACCACTCTGATTTGGAAATCATGCTCTATCTAAGGGGACCTCTTCAGTCTAACGAGAAAAGGGACTGGGAGTGGGAGAAAAGGGAAAAGCACAGGAAAGGCTGAAGCCAGTCACCACACCTAATTAGCTGCATTTGCAGCCTGCACAGACAAGAGCTCTCCTGAGGAGCAGCCAAATGAGGAGGGTGTGGTTCTTTGCAGGAAATGTTTTCCCCTAGGAGACAGGAAGAAGTGGGTTCTAGCAGGTGGAGCCAAGGTCATCTAGAAGTATTTCAGTTTGAGGTCTGAACTCTGGAGACTGGGAACAGCTCCAGAGTTCTGAAATGCATCAGGAAGAGGATATAACCTATGATACATCATTTGCCATTCCTTGCTTGGTGTACATGTCTGGGATTAGTTTGTCCGTTCCCTTTATCTTTTAAAAGTACTATCTCCTTGGTTTGGGTAGGGTAGGAAGCCTAGAGTTTCAGATCTTCTTTTGCATCCTCCACAACATCTAGCAAAATCTGTTCATATTTTAAACACTGAGTTTGCTGGAAGAGATAGCTATGCGATGAGAGGGAACACACACACACACAATGAAAAACTATGAAAAATAAATTTAGTACTTTATTATAACCTCAAGAATGCAACCCGAAGGAGGGATGTGAGATCAGGAACTGTTTTTAAGGAAGAGATGATAATAATGACTAGGTAGAATTTACAGGATAAAGGCGACAGAGTCATTCCAGATGAGAAAATGTCAGGAACTGTAAGAATGAACATATGTGAAAAGGGGAGAAAGAGGAAGAAATAACATTTTTGGGATCTAGCCATTTTATAGTTCCTTTACAATAACAGTCCCAGATAATTAGTGTTATGATACCCAATTAACTCTAGGATGTGAGTTGATGTGTCTAAGATCACAGACTTAATTAGGAATAGAAAGCCCAATCTTCTGATCCCAAAGCATGGATTTTTTCCATGTCTCCTCTTAATTTTAGAGTGTGATTTACTAATAAATGTCTTTTAAAAAGAAAAAAAATTAAACCAGAAAAAAAGAATCCAGTTACTATTTATATGATATGGTAGGGGAAAAGACTTTCTAAGCATAAAAAGAATGAAAAAAGTAACCAAAAATAGATTTCTTTGGTTATATGACAATTAAATTCTTTATAGTTCATAAACATCATAAAATTAAAACCAAGCAATACATTTTTACAACAAATAATTGGTACAAAATTTGGTACCTCTTATATATAACTCATAAAATTTGTAAGCAATACTGAACACTACTGGCAAAATGAAAAGAAACGTGAACATTCAGTGATGAAGACAACAGCTAATATTTGATAATGATATGAAAACTCATGTAAAAGAAAGTTTTCTTTGTCATGAGTGCAAAAATATTGCCTCATATACAGCTGTTAAAAATGTAAATATTGCAGAAGTATCAAAATATTTACTTTGTTAACTGAGTAACTTATTTATTTTTTTTTTGAGACAAGAGTGTTGCCGAGGCTGGAGTGCAGTGGTGTGATCTTGGCTCATGGCAATCTCTGCCTCCAGGGTTCAATTGATTCTCCTGTCTCAGCCTCCTGAGTATCTGGGATTACAGGCACGCCCCACCACACCTGGCTAATTTTTTGCGTTTTTAGTAGAGACAGGGTTTCACCATGTTGGCCAGGCTGGTCTCAAACTCCTGACCTTAGGTGATCCGCCCGCCTTGGCCTCCCAAAGTTCTGGGATTACAGGCATGAGCCACTGAGCCCGGCCTAGTAACTCATTTTTAAGGTATCTATCCTCAGGAAGTAATTACAACTTCAAAATAAACTTCAAAAGAATAATTTTTGTTTTTAATGGAAAAATAATGGAAAGTACCTAAGTATTAAATGAAAAAAAAAATAAAGACATCCACTGGTGGGTTATCTTGCCATTCATAGTATGGAAAATTATCACAAAAGAATATTAATTTTTTTTTTTTTTTTTGAGACGGAGTCTCGCTTTGTCACCCAGGCTGGAGTGCAGTGGCGCCATCTCAGCTCACTGCAAGCTCCGCCTGCCAGGTTCACGCCATTCTCCTGCCTCAGCCTCCTGAGTAGCTGGGACTACAGGCGCCTGCTACCACGCCTGGCTAATTTTTTTGTATTTTTAGTAAAGACGGGGTTTCACCGTGTTAGCCAGGATGGTCTCGATCTCCTGACCTTGTGATCCACCCACCTCGGCCTTCCAAAATGCTGGTATTACAGGCGTGAGCCACCGCGCCCAGCCAAGAATATTAAATTTTTTTTAAGTAGCAACATTAAATGTACAATATTATCTTTATTAATATTGAAATATGTATGTTTAGAAAAAAGACCAGAAGGAAATTTAATACAGGATCATTTGCTATCTTTTAGTGTGAAAATATAGGCATTATATATATATATATGTTTGGTGAGGCACAGTGGCTTATGCCAGTAATTCCATTATTTTGGGAAGCTGAAGTGAGAGAATTACATCAGCCCAAGAGTTTGAGACCAGCCTGGACAACATAATGGGAATCCCTTCTGTAAAAAAACTAAAAAAATTAGCCAGGCATGGTGGCACGTGCCTGTGGTCCCAGCTACTCCAGAGATGGAGGCAGGAGGATCGCTTGAGCCCAGAAGTTCTTGAGGCTATGGTGAGCCTGGGCGAGAGTGAGACCCTGTCTCAAAAAAAAAAAAAAAAAGTAAAAAAAATTGTTAAAATATACTTTTTATTGTCTTTAAAATGAAAATGCCCTGTATCATATTAAATATTTTAAGTAAAATAATCAACTAGCTTGCCGTTGTTCCTTTATTCATTCATTCATTGAACAAGTCATTGCAGAGAAGCTTGTATGTGGTGGCAGGCACTTGCCCACTATGCTACACAGAGTCTCTGCTCCCAAGGAACTTTCAAGTGTATGATCCAGTGTAAAATTACAAATAAAAATAAGTACTATGAATGAAGATGATAAGTTTCTATAAGAATTCAGAGGCTGGGCGCAGTGGCTCACTACTGTAATCCCAGCACTTTGGGAGGCCCAGGCCGGTGGATCACCTGAGGTCAGGAGTTTGAGACCAGCCTGGCCAACATGGCGAAACCACATCTCTACTAAAAATACAAAAATTAGCTGGGCGTGGTGGCGCATGCCTGTAATCCCAGCTACTTGGGAGGCTGAGGTAGAAGAATTGCTTGAACCCGGGAGGCGGAGGCTGCAGTAAGCCAAGATCGTGCCACTGCACTCCAGCCTGGGAGACAGAGTGAGACTCCATCACCAAAAAAAAAAAAAAAAAAAAAGATTTCAGAATAAAGTAACCTGCTCCAAACTACTGGAGAGGCATGGTTCTCAACTCTGATATTAGAATCACCTGGGACACTTAACCGACAACAATCCCTAGCTTGCTCCCCACCCTTCTCTCCTCCAGCCCAGGTCCCACTCTCCAGGTGACATAGCCTTCAACCTGGTGGTTGGAGAACAACTGGGCTGAGGTGAGGAGAAGATGCAGACAGTGGAACTGGACATGGCTAGAGTCAGGCCAAGGGTGTGAGGCTCTTGGATCCTGGGATTTTTATCCTGTGCATTTTTTTTCCTGAAAGCACTGGAAAACCTTTGAAGCATTTAAGCCTAGATTTGACAATAGATTTACATTTTCTAAATCTCTCCTCGCTCTGCAATGAGAAGAAGAGATTGGTGGGGAACCAGAATGAAAAAGGGTGGTCAGTGCGCAATCATAGGACAGCGTGGAAGTGGATGAGGGTGAAATAGAGAAGGGTGGGTGAAATTGAGAGATATTTACGAGTAAAATAGTGATGACTTGTTTATGACTGCATATGGGAATGGTGGCAAGACACACTAGTATTTATCATGTGAAATCTAATTGAGATTTATTTCCTAGATGCAAAGAGTTGCTAACAGCTGGTGAACTTTATCATAATTGTAGGAAAAACGCCCTTTATGATGTTCCCTTAACCAAAATGAATTTGTAACAGAAAGATATTCCAAGATTAAGTACAAATAAAATATAATTGAATTGTTCAAAGTCCCAAATATGTATGTAATAATGAACAGGGCCTGTTCCTAGGTCACCAGTGAGAAGTCTGGGCTTCCAGCATGTTGGGCCACATTCTAGACCCTTCATGGTTGTCAGCATAATGAGGCCAGACTTTGTCTTGACAGACTTATCCAATAATTCTGAGGTGACTGGTATTTTCTAGGTAAGGAAAGAAGAACATGACTATAGAATGTCTATCTCTATTTTATTTCATGCCAGGGACAGTGAAATTTGATTCCTAAACCATACTTTTACAATGCAGTTTCCCCCTTTCATTTGCTGTATTAACTGACATATTTCTCATTCTACTTTCATTAAAGAAAGGACTTGATAGGTCATGGTAGATTTTAATCACTTATAATAGAGGAAAGCATTTGCTTTGGGATAATGTGGGAAATCAGACTGGGTTGTATAAGACCATAGGGGTATCCCAAAAGCATGCATTTTAGACTTTTCCTGCTTCCATCCCACTAATAATCTGGGCCTGAAGTGTTTGCAGATCTTTTGTCAGACAAATAGGTAAGTGCTGAGCAACTGCTAACGTGTTTATCACTGGGCTACAGACGAGGTTAGGAACACACAATAGCCACCTCAGCTAATTGGAAGTGGGATAGGTAGGCAAAGGAAAATATTAAAAAATAGACTCGACATGATAAAGTGTCTTACTAGGAATGAAACGCTATAGGAAAACAAAACTTGGCATTTTGGGATAACATTTAAAATTTTGATTATTTTGGAACATAGTAATTAATAATTTTGCGGGCATCATGAATTTGTTTTTTTTGTTGTTGTTGTTTGTTTATATATTTTTTTTGAGACAGAGTGGCTTGATCTCGGCTCATTGCAACCTTCGCCTCCTGGGTTCAAGCAATTCTACCTGCCTAGCCTCCCGAGTAGCTGGGATTACAGGCACCCTGCATCACAACGGCATCACGCATTCGAATTTAGTATTTTAGAGTGATCTTAATAGGTGAGTACATAATTGGCTTCCCTGTATCTAAATCTAGACGCAACTCTGTTCTCTGCTCAGCACTGCCTCTTGGCTATGGGTAGTGATTGAATTAAACAAAACAACAACAACAACAAAAACCAAACATGAAAACACACATTTATTTCTTTTGAAAAAATGACCTCGAAAAGAAAGTCAGTAGCTAAGTTTGGGATAAAAGTTAAGTGGTTCCAAAGGTTATACTTCTTAGACAGAAAAGAAAAAAAAAATAGAGTCAAATGATGAGTTCAACTCAGTATTATCATGCACTCTACAGAGAAACAAGAGTGAGCAATCTGTGGAACTATTTCTGCAACTATTTCTGCCAGAATTTATTTTAATAGCTGTGTAAAAGCCTTCAGCACTGAATTTATAGAATCATTAATTGTCTAAGGGGGTCACTTAAAATTTTAAGTTGTACTTTATATAGCATTTTATGGAAAAATGATATGTAATAGGCGTATTTTCAGATTTGCAAATTTGAGAAGGCCTAGGGATATTCCCCTCATGAATGTATATTTCTCCCATCCAAGTACTGCTTGGCTTCTGAGATCAGATGAGATCGGGCGTGTTCAGTGTGGTATGGCCGTAGACATGAATGTATATTTCTTAAAGTGTTAATGATCTGATAGAGATGAAAAGAACAAAAAAGAATTCCCTTTACCAAGTCAGATAAGGATTTGGAAATAAGGCAGTTTTAGTAACCAGAGTCATAATAGATTGATAAGGGTAATAGTAATGGAATAAAAGTGGGTGGGGGACAGAGAGAGAGAAAGAGAGAGAAATGTAGTGATATAGGTAGGAGGTTGGAAGCCCCTGAAAAACGCATACATGCATATTATGGTTAAGGAAAATTTTTGTGAGCCAGTTTCAGAAACGTTCAGTGGAGAGTTCAGGGACTTCAGAATTCTAGTCCTGGTTCTGTTCCAAACTAACTCTGTGACTTTGAGGAAGTCGTTTATCCTCTCCGATCTTTAATTTCTTTTCTGAACCTTAATTTCTTCATCCATAAAATGATCGCAGTGGCCTGGGTAATGCCTGAGGTACAGTTCAGTGATTTTATGGCTTGTAGGTAATCATACTATATCGTTTTGCATCTTTTTTTTCCTTCTTTTGAACATTATATATTGAATATTTTCCACGTCACTAACATTAAGACATCGTTTGAATGACTGCCTAACACTTATTACATTATCTTAATTATTTAGCCATCTCCTACATATTTAGGCAGTTTTCAATGTTTTTATGATTAAAATGCTGCATAAGCATCTTTGTAAATATTTGTTTCCATCTCTAGTGAGCTCCTTGGGTTGAGTCCTAAAAATAAAATTACGATTTTAAAGACGATGAGCTCTTTTAAAATGTTTGATATTTGTTGCCAAATCTCTTCTTAGAAAGCTTGAAATATTTTTATGCCTACTGGAACTCCTAGGTCTTCTGCATTTCACCCACATTATTATATTTAACATTTAAAAAGTATAGGCCGGTGCAGTGGCTCTCACCTGTAATCCCAGCACTTTGGGAGGCTGAGGTGGGTGGATCACCTGAGGTCAGGAGTTCGAGACCAGCCTGACCAACATGGAGAAACTCCGTCTCTACTAAAAATACAAAATTAGCTGGGCATGGTGGCACATGCCTGTAATCCCAGCTACTTGGGAGGCTGAGGCAGGAGAATTACTGGAACCCGGGAGGTGGAGGTTGTGGTGAGCCGAGATTGTGCCATTACACTCCAGCCTGGGCTACAAAGCAAAACTCTGTCTCAAAAAAAAAATATATATATATGTATGTACATATATATGTATATTAAACATATATATGTATATATATGTGTATATATATATATGCTCAGTTGATACATCTTTTATCAATTTAATTTTTATTTTTTATTTTCAAATTGAGTATTTGTACTTGTGCATTTATAAGTCACAGTCCTTCACTAGTAAATTATCTATTGATACAGTTTGACTTTTTTTTTTCCATTGGAAAGCCAGTCCTTTCTTTATTTGAGTTAAGAACATCTTTTCCATTGAGGATAATATTAACACTTTGGTTCTCTTATTTGTAGCTCATAGGTGTCTTGACCTCACCTACCAGTGATTACAAATATTTAGCAATTCCAAATTCCACAAATTAGAGTCTCCACCTCCTGATGGAACTCTACTGGGGTTCTCCTCACCCTATTATTCCCTAGAACTTGGTTAGGGAAAGGGGAGGAACTGGCAAGAAAATCAGGCATCTGTACCTTTCCGTGATGGCTGCTCCTTCTGTCTCATCATCCTTGGCCATCAGCCTGATGCTGTTCTCCGCGTTCCTGAACCAACAAGGGGATCTTCTCTGTGACTGACTGGCAGGACCAGCTCTTCAGAAAGAGCTTTCTACACCAGTTCACTGGGTTCTTGGAAACAGAATTCCTTCTGCTCCTTCCTGCCTTAGGTTTCTCCTTCTCAGATAGCAGAGGGCTCCAAGAATAGAGGGGCTGCAACAGGCATGGCCAGGCCAGCTTCACCCACTTCTTGAGCAGCCTTTTCACTGATCTTTAGGCTCTGACACGTTTGAAACTGTGCTCCAAAGAGGTCAAGAAACCAGTAGCCAATTCTTGAGTTTACATGATGACATTATAAAAAATAAAATCAGCTTGCTGAAATGCCAAAACTCCCTCTGCTTATAAAATAACAAAACTGGCTGAAATTGGTTGGAACCAATATGGCCAACTGAAGTTTGCACAGAACAAGCTCGTTCAAATGTTGGCTGCATGCTTCATACTAACTCCCTGTGAATTTATGCATACAACCCAGGAGTAGGCATGAAGAGACAACTACATATGTCCGAGGATTTTCCAGACCTCCCCTTTCCTTCCACCAGTCACCTACTAATCCCCAGATCCACCCCCTAAACCTTTTCTAATAAAAATACCAGGCCAGCACTGGGAGAAAGATTTGAGCTTGACTCCACTCTCCTTGTTGGTTGCTCTACAATAAAAAGCTTTTCTTTGCTTAAAAATCCAAAGCCATGATGTTGGCTTCTAGTGCATCAAGCAGCATGCCCTTTCTTCCAGACACACTCCTCCATTTCCTGCTTTCTGTCCAGTCCATCTGTCAGATCTGTGGACACATTTAAATACTGATTATGCTGAGGGTTGCTGTTCTCTCTTTCTCACTGGCTCCCAGATATTTCCAAGTGATGGGCTCTGTGCAGCATCCCTGCACTGTCCCTGAGCATTCTGTGGTGGTAGGGCCTTTGGGAGTTTGATGGCAGGTTGAGGCTGGTCCTGAGGATTGTTTGACTTGATTCCTTAAGAGGACTCACAGACTCTGTCTAACCCCAACACAAATACTGCTACATTCCCAAGTTCGGTTCTGGTGTTTTGCAACATACTAAAGTTATTTTTATTTTTTATTTAACTTTATTTATTTATTTATTTATTTTGAGATGGAGTCTCGCTCTGTCTCCCAGGCTGGAGTGCAGTGGCACAATCTTGGCTCACTGCAACCTCTGCCTCCCGAGTTCAAGTGATTCTCCTGCCTCAGCCTCCCAAGTAGCTGGGATTACAGACACGTACCACCACGCCTGGCTAATTTTTGTATTTTTAGTAGAGACAGGGTTTCACCTTGTTGGCCAGGTTGGTCTCGAACTCCCGACTTCAGGTGATCCGCCTGCCTTGGCCTCCCAAAGTGTTCATATTTTTATATAATCAAATTTAAGTTTTTTTTTCCACTCATGATTTACTCCATTGTCATTGTACCTTGAAAGTGCCCTAATAGGTTGAACTCTAACGTCCATATAAAAGAGACTTCCTCTGAAAAGCTTAAAAGGGGAAAAGATCACACCTGTAATCCCAGCACTTTGGGAGGCCCAGGCGGGCAGATCACGAGGTCAGGAGATCGAGACCATCCTGGCTAACACGGTGAAACCCCGTCTCCACTAAAAGTATATTAAAAAAAATTAGCTGGCGTGGTGGCAGGCGCCTGTAGTCCCAGCTACTTGGGAGGCTGAGGCAGGAGAATAGCATGAACCTGGGAGGCAGAGATTGCAGGGAGCCAAGATCTTGCCACTGCACTCCAGCCTGGGCAACAGAGCAAGACTCCGTCTGAAAAAAAAAAAAAAAAAAAGGAGGGGTGGGAAGAAACTTGTCCTACTAGTTATTACCAAGTTTATCAAGTCACAGTAATGAAAACAATTTGGCTTTGCCAGAACAGTCAGACAAATGCATCCAAGTGACTGAGTAGAAAATCCCTTTATCGCTATGTAATATATCATAAAACATTGCATGTTAGCAGGAACAAAGCTTACTATTCTATCAATAGCAGTAGGAAAATTGGCTATTTGGGTGAAACATCAAGGTAGAACTTCATGTAACTGTGACTTAATTTCAGGTAGGTAATTTTTCTTAAAATGTCAGACACTATTCTAGGTACTGAGGTTATATCTGTGAAATAGAAAGATGAAGACCTTGCTTATTCTAATGAGGATAAACATACACTAAACCAATGAATAAAATAATTAAAAAAACTTCAGAATATACATGCTCTGAAGGAAATGAACAGGATGATGGGCTAGAGACGAAATGGGGTGGAGGTAAAGTGACTTCAGATGGGGTGGCATGGAAGGCTCCTTTAAGAAGGTGGAATCTGAGCAGAGACCACAAGAATTGTGTATTAGTCTGTTCTCATGCTGCTAATGAAGACTTACCCGAGACTGGGTAATTTAGAAGAGAAAGAGATTTAATGAACTCACAGTTCCACAGGGCTGGGAAGGCCTCAGAGTCATGGCAGAAGGCGAAGGAGCAGCAAAGTCACATCTTACCTGGCAGCAGGCAGGAGAAGAATGAGAGCCAAGCAAAAAGGGAAACCTCTTATAAAACCATCAGATCTCATGAGACATATTCACTACCACGAGGTTTATTCACTACCATAGGGGAGAAACTGCCTCCATGATTCAATTATCTCCTACTAGGTCACTGCTACAATCTGTGGGGATTATGGGAGCTACAATTCAAGATGAGAGTTGGGTGGAAAACAGCCAAACCATATCAAATTGAAACTGTGCCCAAAATAGTTAAAGAAACTAATGACTAAGACATATTCATGAGTTTGTAGGATGGGAGATTAAATAACAACAAAAGACTTGCTGAAATGCTGGAGCTCCCCCAACTTACGAGATTTAAAAGACTGCCAAAAATTGATTAAAATTGATTGGAACCAATATGACCAACTGAAGTCTATAAAGAATGGGCTTGCTGACGTCACAGCCCAAATTTCGACCACATGTTTCATACTAATGCCTGTCAAATGTGCACATGCGACTGACTCATGAGAAGGCAGTGAAGAGACACCTGTGCATGCCTGAGAACTTTTTAGTCCTCCTCTTTCCGCCTACCAATTACCCACTAATCTCACAATTCACCCCCTAAAGCTTTTCTAATAAAATGACTGCCTTGGAGCCAGTACATGGAGACAGATTTGAGCTAGACTCTAGTCTCCTTGTTAGTTAACTTGCAATAAAAAATGCTTTTCTTTTCTCAAAAACCCAGGGATAAAATATTGGCTTCCTGTGCATTTAGGAGCAAGCCATTTTACTTGGTAACCTCTTCAGTTAAGAGATGGGAAAGAATGAGATGTCTGCAGATGATAGCAAGGAGGGAGCAGCATCTCTGGTATATTCTGGCGGCTTGAATATCGGAGGAGGTGGGACATTGCAGGAGGAAGGAGAAAGGATATGGAAGAGGCAAGAGGGAGCACGGAGAACACTCATACTGCCTCATGGCTCTGCAGTGTGGGGAAATGAGAGAGGGATATAAAAGGCCTTCAACTGGGGGAGTTTTGGAGAAATGGAGTCCATTGGGGAAAGTCAGCTTTCAGTAAAGGCACAATCAGCAAATGTTGAAGAAGGACTAGCTGTTTCCAGGTGAGGCTACCTAAAGTGCACAGTGTAGGCTTTGCATGGGCAGGAAGGGGAAGGCAATGTACCAGACTATGAGGGGTCCCAAGCAGGAAGGGGACAAGAGTGCAGGTGGTACGTAAGGTCAGCAGGGTTGCAAGACATTGTGGGGTTACCTCTGATGGTTCCTAGAGGAAGGGGAACAATTAGTTCAAAGTACAGTAGCAAGAAGTTAAATGATATGGAGTGATTACTTCCTCTGCAATTCCAGATGATGTTTGTGTAACAACCTTGACTGAGAATAAGACTGAGGGAGGGGAAAGTAGGATGGAAGATTCTCACTGGGAGTGAGAGGTAAGGTGTTGGTCTTTGGGTGACTACTTTCTCAATTGTTTTCTCTTATAATGGTCAGTCGAGAATAAGGAATTATTTCATAAGACAGTTACAGACATTGATACCACAAGCCCCAGAGGGGACTGTCTCAAAAAAGAAAAGGAAGCTTTTTATGCCAAGATGTCATTGTTATTTTAAAGTTGTGAAGGATATATTTGTATGCCAGTCTATGGGCTATGATCATTTGGCAAAAATTTTTAAGCCCTAAGAAATGTCATCCAATATTTGTCAACAGTGCTAAAAATGATGTGGATCTGTATCAGTTAGAATTTTACTTGCAAGAAATAAAAGTTGACTCTGCAAGCAGGAGAGGGATTTATAGAGGAATATTGAGCAGCTCACAGTAGCTTGAGTAGCTAGAAGTGCTGTAGAACCAAGCTTGAAAGCCATCTAGGCACAGCAAGAGTCAAAATTGTGCCATAAATCTGGTCTGATGAGATGCCAACATCATTTCCAATTTTAGTTGGCAGAATGTATCCCAAAAGATATCCACACCGTAATTCCAGAGCCTGTGACATTACATTGTTACTTTACATGACAAGAGGGACTTTGCAAATGTAATTAAGTTTATGAACCTTAAAATAGGGAGACTATTCCATGTTGCCCAGGTGGGCCCAATGTTATAATATGAGCCTTAAAACACAGAACTTTTTCTGAAAGGAGAAAGAAGAGATCTGATGGAGAAGTTGGAGAGATTTGAAGCATGAGAAAAATTGCACCATTGCTGGTGTGGAGATGGAGGTGGCAACATGATGAGGGTTGACTGGAGCCTTAAGGAGATGAGAGCCATTCCTAGCAGACAGTCAGCAAAAATGGGAGACTCAGCCCACATACACAAAAAAACTAAATTCTGCCAACAACTTGGATGAGCTTGGAAGCAGGTCTCCAAGCAAACCCAAGACAAGGCAAGACTCGTTTACTGTTTAAACTAGTAAAAATACAATAAGCCACTTTTAGATTCAAACAGCTGATTTACTTATATAGACAGCAAGAGGGAAGATTAACCAAGGGCTGCAGTTCCCTATGGTCCTAATACCTCACAGCAGAAAGAATGATACAGAAACAAAAGGGGGCTGTAATATGGATTACGGGCTATGGTGTTGCTGAGGAGCTAATTCTACACTATAGCTAGGCAGTCTCATATCCTACAGCTCCATTTTCAGAGGAGCAGAGAAGACATTCCCATCCCTCACCATAACCTGGGAAGCCACAATAAACCATATCATCTCATGAATGCCTCTTGGGAGAGGTAGGTTCAGTGGGAGATGGCCTCACAGAAGCTCCTCATCATCCTCCTAGCCTCTCCTATTCTGGAAGGGTCACAAAGCATTCTTCTAAAGCTCAGGTAAGCTGTGGTTCAAGCCTTTGCATGCATGAGCTATGTAAATACATGAAAAGTCACCAGGAAACCATGGAAGAGCCACTCTTCTGCACAGATTCTCCCCAGAGCCTCTAGAAATTAGCTCAGACTGGCCACTACCTTGATTTCTTCCTTGTGAAACCTGCAATGGAGAAGTCAGTCTTACCCACCTGGACTTCTGCCATACAGATTGGTGAGAAAATCAATGTGTGTTGTTTTTAGGGCTAAGATGGTGATAATTTGTTATACAGTAATAGAAAATTAATATGATCCCTGAGCACTATAGTGGGCATCGAGCTCATTGTGACACTCATCACTGGATGCTGTTGCTGGCATTTCATAGCTTGGTGACCTTGGAAGCTAGATGTACCTCTCATCTGCTTGCAGAGAAGTTTCCTCCTATCTTGATTCTTTGTTTCATCAGTTTCTTACTCAAGTTCCAGAATGAGTGCTTGTTATTAGCTATGCTTAGACCATATGCCATGCACTAACTACAAAAGAGGCTTGGAGAGTGGTTACCTGGAATAATCAGCTTTTATAGTGGGGAGGTATGTTGTGCTTCTCATCAAGAATTCCCCAAATATTGAAAGGAGATTCAAATAATGGTATTTTCACACTGTTGATAAAGATATATCCGAGATTGGGTGATTTATAAAGAAAAAGGTTTAATGGACTCACAGTTCCATGTGGCTGGGGAGGCCTCACAATCATGGTGGAGGAAAGGCATGTCTTAACATGGCAGCAGACAAGACAGAATGAGAGAGCCAAGCAAAAACGGAAATCCCTTATAAAATCATCAGATCTCTCGAGAGTTATTCACTACCACAGGAACAGTATGGGGAAAACCGCCTCCATGATTCAGTTATCTCTGACCAGGTCCCTCCCACAACACATGGGAATTATGGGAGCTACAGTTCAAGATGAGATTTGGGTGGGGACACAGCCAAATCATATTAAATGATCAGGCAACAAGTCTCATTACTGCCATATACCACTCTTTTCATTGTCCAATACAAGATAAACCTCAGGCTCCCATGGTTTTAAGATTTTAATATTTCAGGAGAACACTGGTGCTTCCAGCAGGAGACTAAACAATGGTTCCATTGTATGTGAAGCTGAGACATCCACTTGATAAATTTGGGCTTCTCCAGCCACTGATTCAACAGAAGGAAAGGAGGTTTATAATATTGGGATATTGGCCAATAAAATTGATCTTGCTTATCAAGGAGGTATATATTTGCTGCTGCATAAGGTGAAATTTTGTGAGAAGACCATTATGTGTATAAAAATAAGAGGGACTCCTTTGACTTCAACCAGTTAAATTCTGTGCCTATATATTCAGGGGGAAAGAGCCTCTTGTTGGTTGCTGTTTAGAGTGGATACCAAGCCTGTGAGCAACACCTCTGTCTCATGTGGTATTTTCTCCTAATTAACATTGTGCCAGAGTCTTCATATACCATTCTATTTTACAGAGCCAGCTGCTTCTAAACAATTGAATAGAGAGTAGGATCAGTGAAACCCACGAGCTTGATCTCCTTTACTGTAATGTTAATTCACTATAAATAGGTTCCTTGTCCAAAAATAATGTTCTGTGGGATATTATTCTATTATCTAAAATGTGTCTGGAGAGTGTGAGGTGTGGATGTGTGTGCAAGTTAACATGAATCTATATTGCAGGGATGATCACATAAATAAAGAATGCTACCCAGCAATTTCCATTTAAAGATGCTTCAGAGGTGGTCGTTTGGAATTTAGAAAACTGTATCCCACAGTTCACACTTTACAGAAGTAGCTACACGGAATATGTTTCACATATCACAGTCTGATTCAGTACTGGAGGGTTTATTAACTGACATAAGGAATATTAAAAATATGTTGTTGGAGAAATAAATAGCATTCAATAGCTGTTGGCTGGAAAAGTCTGTACAGAAAAATCTAGTCTTGCATGATCAATCCTCTGTGATCCCAGCAGGCTAATATTTTTTGAGCAGCACCTCAGCTCTAAAACTCCACTTATTCACAACTTTCTCGCCTAATAGAGAATTATTTGCTCTATGAGACTACAAACATTGCTTTTCTGCCATCAGAGTATTTGTAGGGTTGTCTCAGGATGAGCTGTTAGTGGCCTTGTGGAGTGCAAAAGAGAAGAGTGGGAAGGGTAGAGAGCTAGCAGTTCCTCAAGTTTGCAAGACCTCATTGTTTGCATGTTTTGATGCCTGCTCATTAATAAATATTGATACTTGTTTCAGAATTTGTATTTTTTTTAACATAGCATCTAGCAATAACGTTGTAGAGAAAACAACTGGCTCCAGCCATCACTAGTCACTGGAGGCAACCAATATTTACCAGGGAGAACCTGATGACTCTGAATGGCTAAATTGGCTTAGGTCTATCCTTAACAGAAATCATTAGGGTAAATAAGGCTTTCAGTAGGGCCATGGATGGTGATGGTGGTAGGTATGTGGTGCAGAGGCATCAATTTTCTGGGAGTTGCCTGCATAGTTTCATTGAGATACAGGAACAAATTGGCTTATATCACCTGTGGTGTCTTTGTAGGTGGTGCCTGCTCACAAGTGACTCAAAGTCCATCATTTGGCACTGTCAGGGCTGCCCCTCCAAATGACGCTGAGGCCCTGACCCCACCTCCATAAAAGCTGCAGCGTCTCATGACACCAAATGAAGCTATAGTCTCCTTCAGCCCTCCAGGTGCTGGAGCTATAGAGTAACCAGAGAGAAGTAGAGAATACCAATCACCTGGCTTGTGTTGACCTTCTTACCCAGGCCCCCAAGCAGCACTTGTACTCAGAGTCCCATAAAGACTCAAGGAAACAGCTATTTTATCTTGTGGTTTTAACATCTTTCTCCACAAGGAGTCAAAAACCACAGCTCAGGAAGCGCTGCCAGTAGTAGTAGTTGTTTCATTATCTCATTATCCCAAGTCTCCCTGAATAAGGTGCCCTCCTCCAGCCTAAAATAAACACCTGGTGTATATAACATCATACAGATAGACCCTGATAGATAATATCTGTGTGGGTTCATGTTTGTGTTTGGGGAGGGGGTGCTGCTGAGCCCCATACAAGTTGTGTTTAGAATGATGTCTATACTACCCTAATGCATACCAAGTGAAAAAATTATATTTGGTAAAGATTAGTCATTACTCAGTCTGGGGTAATTTTTTGTTGTGCTTAACATCTTTTGATACTTGGAATACTTCAGAATGTTTATTATAGTTTGAAATTATACAAAGGTAACAACTTATTTGCGGATACCTAAAGGGAGCTCACAGAGCAATCATGTTCAGACCCATAGAAGCATCCAGTTAGGCATTAAAACAGTATTTTAAGTTTTTACAACTAAGTTGTTACAATTTTAAAATTAAGAAATTTCACTTTAAAATATCTAAATGTTTGTATGTATTTGAACAATTGCACTGAGCCCTCATTTCTAAATGGCAGTAATGGATTATGACTTTTAGAGAGGGCTTTAGTCTCTGATTTTTGGCACTTTCTACTTGCCTGTTTATTCTGTGGTATTTATATTTGTGTTGCCTGCTTTAGAGTTTCACTCAAATGACATATTTATGGAAATGTCCAAACTAATTCTATAGAAGTAAACTAACTCTACCAAAATGTCTACAAATATCACATCATAAAGTCTTGATCTTAATTTCATCTTCTCCAGTGATTTCCAAAATTTTATCCATGAACCAGCATCTGAATGGCTGCAGGAAAATTAACTGGGATAGTTTTCTGAATTTGAATTAGTAGGCCCCCATCCTTAAATACGTTGATTTCAGTGTGGGTCAGGGATGGAGCCTTGTCTACCTTTTTAACTAAAATATCTGGGCAATTCTCTTGCATAGTGTTTTGGGAGCCACTGGTTTCCTGTCCTTCTCACCCTAGGTGGGGAGGGATGAGAGGGCCACAGAAGTACATTAACTACTGCAGCTGAACTGCTTGACAGGTCCATTAATTAAATTTATTGGCATTAATCACTTTATTTCAATCTGTCAGAGCATCTCACTGAATGAGAAGATCAGGACCCAAGAGAAAGGTAGCTGAAGCCAATATTACAGAAGCAGAAGTAGATCAGATGTCTCTTCTGCTTCTTCTATTTTATTCCAACGTATTCTCTGGCGAACATAAGCATCTCTGCTCTGCTCAGCCTCCAAATTCCCCAGACTTCTTACAATTTTTCAAAACCTTTGATGGGGCGAGGGAAAAGGTGAGGCGGAGGGAGAAGGGTAGGCACTTGAGCGATTCTTTAATTTGATATTTCTCTAAATTTACTTCTTCTACTTTTTCTTTAATCTTCTCTGTCCACAGATATTCTTTGAGATCCTTACACAGGATCAAGACAGCACGCTGACTTTCTAATTGTGAATAAATATTTCAAATAAATACCTTTAGTGTAGACTTTGATATTGATCATTTTTTAGGTCTTTGCTAGTAGTTTTTTACTGGATAAGATTCATCATGTATTTCCTGGTATATTGTCTTATACTCAGAGGTGGTGTATGGTGGAGGTAGAGGAAGAAATTAGGAGCTTCGAATTGGGGACCAGAATTCTTGTGTCTTCTGGAATCTAGTCAGTGTCTGAGGTGTCACCTCACTTAGCACTCTATTAACAGCTTTAAAAAAGTAAAGCAGTTAAAAAAGTAAAGTCGTAACAGACACAGGAAAGCAACAATGTTCTGGTTTGTGGGCTTGATCAAAGGGAAAACTGATAGATGAGACTAAGTAGCTACCTATTGCTGGAAGACAGATGCTCCTTCTGTAGATATGAACTAATGGCAAATAAGATAAACTCTCCTGAATTATAATGAGTTCTTTTATCTGTAAAAATATTTCAAATCCCATGCATGAGAAAATATAAGTAATGCAACATAACTTTTGTGTGTTTGCTGAATGCTACCAATGCAACAGAAACTATGATTAAATAAAATGTAGGTTTAAGAGATCCACGAAAAGAAGTCATACATATGCTCAGGAAGTCTTTTATTTTTTTCTTTCTTCTCTCTTTCCTTTTAAAATCATCCCCCTTCATCTTTAGCATCATCTATCTTTCTCTGTGCAAAGCACCACCTCAAATTGAGTGGCTTAAAACATCCACCATTTGAGACATTTGCTCTGGCATGTACCTGTAGTCTCAGCTGGGAGACTGAGGTGGGAGGATTGCTTGAGAACAGAAGTTTGTAGCCAGCCTGGGCAACATAGCAAGACCCCCATCTCTTAAAAGATAACAATTTTTTTTAGCTCACAGTTCTGTGAGTCAGCAATTTGAGCTAGGCTCAGCTGTCCAGTTATTCTGCTCTGTTGTCAGTTATGCATCTGTCAGCTTATGGTCAGCCAGGTTGGCTGCCTGTTAACTGGGGTATCGGGGAGAACTGAGCAAGTATCTTTTAATACACAACAGGCTAGCCTGTATTGGTTCACAAGGTGGATGGGAGGATTCTGAGAGAGAGTGTAGGCATGCAAGGCCTCCTGAAGAGTAGGTTTGGAACTGGTACAAATATAATTTCTGCTGCATTCTATTGGTCAAAGCAAGTCACAGCCCAGATGCAAACAATTAAGGAATAGATTCCACCTTTTGATGGGAAGTACTGTAAAGTCACATTGCACAGAAGTATGGACAAAGGTTGAAGTAGAAAATTATAACAATGTTTATCATTGTCACTCCCCTCTTAAAATTTTCATAAGCCTCTTGGTCTTTTATAACCATGGCAGTGTCTGTAAAGGTAGATGCTATAAGGAGTGACAAAAGGAACAAAAAATACTGCTTCTATATTTATGTTGCCTGTAATCTATGGAGAAGGAAAGTATCAACCTCATCTGAGATCTACAGGTACAAGCATCCCCAGCTTATTATTGTCTAACACATATGTACTAGAGAAACATGAGTAAGAGAAAAATCAGTGGGACTGAGGAGTATTCCAACTACTGTGAACTGTGTTTAGCTACTGCAACTCCCTGTTTGTTTCCACCACAAGTTTCTGCTCTTATAAGTGGTTTAATCCTGTTCTACTCTACTTAGACCGCTTGAATTTTGAGCATTTTATTTTTAATAGTTTTAAATATCTTTTAAAGCAGGAAGAATAGTACAATTCCTACCCATATATCCTCTACCTAAATCAAACAATTAGAACATTTTCCCATATTTGTCATACAAATAATTGTGGCACATTCAAAGGAAGAAAATACATCTCCAGAAGTTATCCCTAAAAAACATAAGCATCATGTTTACTAGAAAAATACTTTAAAATAACTGTCTTAAATATTTGCAGAGCTAAATAAAAACATGACAGATAACTAAAGAAACTTAGGAAAGTAATAAATGAACACTATGAGAAGAGCAACAAAGAGCTAGAAACTATTTAATAAAAAGAACAAAACAGAAGTCCCGAAGCTGAAAAATATAATCATTGAATTAAAAAACTTACTACAGGAATACAACAAGAGACTCAAGCAGACGGAAGAAAGAATCAGAAAATTTGAAAACAGGACATTTGAAATTATCTAGTCTGAGGAATAAAAAGAATTAAGAAAAGTGAAGAGAACCTAAGGAACTTACGAGGCACCGTTAAACAGACAAATACACTATATGAGTTCAGAAGGAGAAGAAAGAGAGAAAAGGGTAGAGAGATTATTTGAAAAACATAATAGCTGTAAACTTTCAAAATTTGAGGAAAGGCATGGGTCTACAAGTGTAAGAAGCTCAATGATCAACAAACTCGAAGAGACCCACAGTGAGACACATCATCATCAAATTGCTAAGTCAAAGACAAAGAATCTTGAGAAGAACAACAGCAGAATGACTATTCATGTCATGGATAAATCACAGAATTTCCCAATATTATCAGTGTGTCCCCAGATTATCAGTGGATTTCTCAGAAGAAACATTGAAGGCCAGAAGTCAGTGGGATGATACATACACAAAGCTGAAAAAAATAAATGAAACAAAACCATCAGTGAAGAATTCTGTATGTGGCAAAACTGTTCTTCAAAAAACAGAGAGAAGTTGAGACTTTCTCAGATAAACAAAATCTGTGAAAGTTCATAACCACTAAATCTTCTCTACAAAAAATTCCAAATGTAGTCCTTCAAGTTGAAATGAAGGGATGCTGGATAGTAGCTCAAAAGCCATACAAAAATATAGAGTTCTCTGATAAAGGTAAGTACAAAGACATTTTTAAAAATTGTTACTGTAGTTTTGGCTTATAATTCAATCTTTTATTTTTGATAAGGTTTAAAAGACAAATGCATAAAATTGATTATAAATCTGTTAACAGGTACACATATATAAAGAGGTAATTTATGACTAAGTAACATAAAGGGGGCAGAGCTACAAAGGAGTAGGGTTTTTGTATGCAATTGAAATTGAGTTGGCATTCATTTAAGATAGATTATTATAACTTCAGGAGGTTAAATATAATCCACATGGTAACCAAAAAGAAAATATCTATAGAATATACACAAATAAAATGAGAAGGTAATTAGAATATGTCACTATAAAAAATTAAATAAGCAAAAAAATAGTAATACGGGAAACAAGAGACAAAAACTGCTATAAGATATATGAAAAATAAAGAACAAAATTTCAAAAGTAAGTGCTGCTCTTTCAGTAATTACTTTAAATTTAAATGGGTTAAACTCTCCAACAAAAGACATAGATTGATGGAATGATTTTTGTTTTAAAGGATCTAGCTATATGCTGTCTACCACATAGTCACTTTAGATCTAAGGATATGCATAGGTTGAAAGTGAAAAATAAAGGGTGGGAAATTCTATGTAAATATTAACTAAAAGAAAGCAGAGATCCTATTCTGATATCAGACAAAATAGACTTTAAGTCAAAAACCGTTGCAAGATATAATGAAGGACCTTGTATAATAATGAAAGGGTCAATTAATCAAAGATATAACAATTATAAATTTGTATGCACCAAACATCAGAGCTCTAAATATATGAAGCAAATATTGACAGAATTGAAGGCAGATCTACAATAATAGCAGGAGAGACACCATGTGATTCCAATTACCACCCATTAGGATGGCTATTGTCAAACGAACGAACAAAACCAGAAAAAGCAATTTTTGGCTAGAATGTGGAGAGATTGGAACCCTTTTGTCTTGCTCATAAGAATGTAAAATGATGCAATTGCTGTGGGAAACAGTAAAGCAATTCCTGAAAGAACTAAACATAGAATTACTATATGATTCAGCAATTCCACTCCTGAGTATATACCCCCCAAAATTGAAGTCAGTGGGTAGAACAGATCTTTATACACTCATGGTCATAGCACCATTATCTATGGTAGCCAAAAGGTGGATGCTACCTAAGTGTCCATCAAAGGTTGCATGAATGAACAAATTTGTTATATAATATGTGTTATATAATATATATTTATTATATAATTATATAAATTTGTTATATAACATATAACAATCTAAAGGAAGGATTTCTCTTGTGAGAAATCCACTGATAAAGATTCACTAAAAATGAACTGATAAAGAGGCAGATTAGTAGGAGAAAAAGGCATACAAATAAATTTAATGTGCATAAGCACTGGAGAATTTCAGGATAGTTATCCAATGACCGAATGAGGTACACATAGTTGTATATCCATCTTAATAGGGGAAGAGAATATCAGAGAAATATGGCCATTTTGAGGGTTCATAAATGATAATTTTAGGGGGAATAAATAGGCCCAATGCTCAGACAATGATTAGTATAATATACACAATAGAATATTATTCATTTTTACAAAGAAGAAAATTCTGACACATGCTACAACATCGAAGCACTGGTAAGTGAAACAAGCCAGTCACAAAGAACACTATATATTGTATAATTCCACATATATAAGGTACCTAGAGTAGTCGAATTCTTAGAGACAGAAAGTAGGATGATGGTCACCATAGCTTTGAAGAGAAGGTAGGAAGTTAGTGTTTAATGGGTGGTAAGTTTAGGAAGATAAAAAGTTCTGGAGATAGATGGTGGTGATAGTTGCATGTCAATATGAATGCACTTAATGTCACTGTTCACTTAAAACAGTTAAAATAGTACATTTTATGTTGTTTATATTTAACCACAGTTTAACAAAATAAGTTATTGATGATGTTAGGTACTTCATGTTGCAACCTATCAGGAGGCATAAAATGATTGGTTGATTCATTTTTCATGACAGTGGCAATCAGATTTCTCCATTGTAAAGTTATCTTTTTCCCTTTACAATTAGGAAATTATCTGTGTGCCAGTATTTTTAGCACCATCAACTTGCCAGTTAATGATTTTAGCATTCATTCTTGCTCCTTGCCTGAATCAAATACTTATTAGGAGCTATTAAATGGTGGTGGTATTTCCCCTGTCATTCATCTATAATTGTTATTCAATGCTTTTCTATAATAAAAGTTTTCCCTCATCAATTAGGGCTATTTGGTGACACTTTATGGTCAATAAAATAAAAGTATAATCACTTAATTCATTAATTTACCAATTTCCACAGAAGGACTTGGTATAAGAGATAGATGTACTTCCATTTCTAATGGAAGCTTTTTTTTTATGTGAGTGTGTAGGGGTATGTGTGTATCGTTGTAGTCTGAAATTGTATATATTCGATATGCTTCAATAAAATACATTCTTCTTTATTTTGTTACTCAGATTGTTTCAACTTTGATTGATAGAATCCCTTTTGACTGGGCCCTGGGTCCTTTTGACAGAACTCCATTGGTCTTGGAATACTTTTTGCTTTCCGGGACCAACAAATGTTACAACGCTCTACTTTCCCTATTAGATCTGGAAACAGATCTATTATTTTCAGAAATAAGGATGGTCACCTTTAGAGAAGAATGGTGTATAGAAAGCAAATTTTGGACATAAGTGGTGCCCAATACTACTCAGGTATTATTGCTCTTTGGCTCTTTCATGGATACGTTTTTTAAAATCATGAATTTATCATTTTGTTTTTATTTTAACTTGAACAAGAGATTTACTTAGCTTCTTGAACTTTAGATTTGTATCTCTTTTCCCTTACAAATGAAATCTTGATATAAAATAACAAACAACTATTTATTTGTAGCATAATACAATATTCACAAAAATGATTCAAAACAAGGAAATAAATATTGCCACTGAGGAAAACAAAACAAAATTTCTGGGTAAAGTTTTACTTTTATTTTCCTATTTTTTTTGTCTTAGAATATATCCCAGTGTTAGATCAGTGCTGTTTTTAATGACAGTAAAATAATTATCTCCTCCAAATAAATTATCTCTTCCAAATTTTCACTTTAAAATTTTTATTGCTTTGTTTTTCTATTTTATTATTATTTACTTTTTGGCATTGTATGATGTTTACGTGGTTTAAAAATCAGAACAACAAGTTCAGAGAGATTTAATTTCTATTTCTGTCCCCTCACCCCATAGCTCTCTACCATCTCTAGGTAAACATTTAAAAAATGGTTGTTTTTTCTGATGATTCTTACTTTAAGGATGTGTATAATACATAAAGTCATATATATATGTTCTTATTTCCTCTCATTTCTCACATAAATGTTAACATTATATACAGTGTTCTTCATCTTAGTTTTTTAATTAATTGATTCTAAAGATTATTCCATGTAAGTGTATATTTATTTTCTTCAGCCTTTTTATATGGCTACATAGTAATTTAATGTATAATTGCATCATTTCTCATTTTACCTCTCTCTTATTATGATACATTCAGTGTTCTTTCCTGGCTTTTACTAATACAAATAATGCAGCAGTCAATAACTTTGGGAATTATGTTTTGGACTTCTGCAGGTATATTTTCAAAGTAAATTACTCCAAGTAGAATGGTTAGGTCGAAGCGTGAATGCATTTGTAATTTAGCTAACTTAATTTTACTTACTGTCCAATGCCTACTGCCTCCTCCACATAAACAGTATAATGCAGTGGGAAATGTATGGGCTTTGGAGTCACACTGGCCTGGACTTGAACCTGGTGCCATAACTTACTAGTAAACTATGTGAACATGAAGATTCATAATACCCACTTCATAAGGTCTGTGTTAAGATGAAATGATGTCTGCCGAAAGCATCGAGTACTTTGTCTTGTTGCAGCGACAATGCTCCCCATGATCAGTTCCCTTTTCAGGTCCTCAGGTCAATAAAATCTGAATGACCTTGGCACCTAGATGTTTTCAGAATCTGGATTCCTTGTTACAGATTCTGTTCTGACAGCTCTAATTAAACTTAATACAGCCTTAATTTAGCCAAGAGTATCCTTATGTTTTCTATAGAAAACTTTAGCCTTTGTCATGTTAACCTAGAGTGCCTATCGCTGACTAGGTACTTAAGAAACTCTATGACATCGTTCCTCTCTGTGTCAAAGTTAACCACAGATTTTCAATACCATGCTTTACTGGGCACCCCATGGAAAGAAGGGCTTATCAGTCTGTACCTGAAATCCTCTGCTACATCTGTTTTTAGGAATCCAGAATTGAAATCTATGTGATAAATTTCTACCTTAAACTATCTCACCATTTTGAATCCTAAAGATTTTCTGAGCTTTAGTTTATCAAACTCTCTCTGTTCTTTCACTACTAATTGCCAGGACATTTCTCATGAATACTGACTGAGCTCAAACAGCCTAGGCCTGCGGATAAAGGAGATTTTTTAAGGTTGCTTGGATCATCCTGGCTTAGCAACACTCATGCATAAAGGTATAAGTCCACACCAAATGAATCCAAGACTAACTTGCTGAGGTAATTAGTGCTTCTAATTTGAGAAAGCAATCATATATGGATTATTCCTGTAATTATAGGCTTCAATGCAGTAGGGTCCTAGACTTTTTAAGGTGTATTTTCTATTTAAAACATAAATATTTAATGTTTTAATTCTTAAGTGGAGAATATCTACAGAAAATGCTCTTTTTTTGTGTATTTCTAATTAAAAGTTGTTTTGGTCACGAATGGGGGTTTCTACTTCTTATTAACAAGAATTACTTCTTACCAGGGACTGCTTGTGATTTGAGAAACAGATGAGCTAGCTTCACAAGGTCAGGTGGTCCTGCCCGCCTGGTAACTCAACAAATTTGATTAACATGAAAATGAACTCGGTCTGGACAAAGGGCAAACTCGGAAAATGTCAGGTGATAGGAAAACCCAGAACTGCCACCTAATTTGGCAGCTGTTCTGAGATTATGATTTCTGGATTGGGCGACATCTTAAATAAACCAGAAATCTCATTTAGTATGAAAACCCAACTCTTGCCTTGGTCTTCAGTGTCCTTTGTTTTGCACCTAAGTCAGAAAATGAATGAGGATTAAAACCCTTCAAAGTATACGAAGAGCAGAGACCATTTTCTCCTGGTGCATTTTTTAAAGAGGATAAGACACATTAAGGGTGATTTATATTCTGTCAGCTTTATTTGAGAGGAATGGTATTCAACATTTCAACCCATTTTTACTAAATTTCTGAAGAGAAATATTTTCTTCCTCCTTAACATGCTGAACTAATCTTGGTTTAAAATCTTATAATGATGCCTCAGATATCTGATGGAATTTTAGACTAAGTTAAACAAACAAAGGAAGGAACCATTTCTTAAACAGGATTATATACAGTGATGTGACCGGATGTATTATTCTACTATTTTAAATTTTACTTAATGCTTCTGATATGCCACATAATTTTTTTTTGCTACCCATGCAGTCTTGAATTGCAAAATAAAAGAGATCTCATAGAATCCGTGAGGCGAAAGTCACAGCTGTAGACATTTCTCTCAATTACAAAAGCACCTTTTTTTCAAACTGTTCTCAATCTCTGGATTTTTCCAGTGCCCACAGAAACCAGTGGCACTTCAGAGGACAAAGGATATGACTATTCTCCACATATTTCCTTCAAGTCAGAAGCCTGCCAGGGAGCTCAAATTCGACCCTTGGGAGCAGGTTGATCCTGACAGAAGTCTCTAGGGAGTGACTGAAAGTTCCAACATCCCTACCTATTTTCTCCATAGCGTTGAATTCACAGGCAAGTATTATCTTAGCATTAGGAGATTTTCTTTTTCAAGTTCCTCTGTTAACTTTAACATCTGTCTTAATAATTGACAAATGGGATCTAATTAAACTAAAGAGCTTCTGCACAGCAAAAGAAACTACCATCAGAGTGAACAGGCAATCTACGGAATGGGAGAAGGTTTTTGCAATCTACTCATCTGACAAAGGGCTAATATTCAGAATCTATAAAGAACTCAAACAAATTTACAAGAAAAAAACAACCCCATCAAAAAGTGGGCGAAGGATGTGAACAGACACTTCTCAAAAGAAGACATTTATGCAGCCAACAGACACATGAAAAAATGCTCATCATCACTGGCCATCAGAGAAATGCAAATCAAAACCACAATGAGATACTATCTCACACCAGTTAGAATGGCGATCATTAAAAAGTCAGGAAACAACAGATGCTGGAGAGGATATGGAGAAATAGGAACACTTTTACACTGTTGGTGGGACTGTAAACTGGATCAACCATAGTGGAAGACAATGTGGCAATTCCTCAAGGATCTAGAACTAGAAATACCATTTGACCCAGCCATCCTATTACTGGGTATGTACCCAAAGGATTATAAATCATGCTTCTATAAAGACACATGCACACATATGTTTATGCAGCACTATTCACAATAGCAGAGACTTGGAACCAAGCCAATTGTCCATCAAAGATAGACTGGATTAAGAAAATATGGCACATATACACCAGGGAATACTATGCAGCCATAAAAAATGATGAGTTCATGTCCTTTGTAGGGACATGGATGAAGCTGGAAACCATCATTCTCAGCAAACTATCGCAGGGACAAAAAACCAAACACCGTGTGTTCTCACTCATAGGTGGGAATTGAACAATGAGAACACTTGAACACAGGAAGGGGATCATCACACACCGGGGCTTGTTGTGGGGTGGCGGGAGGGGAGAAGGGATAGCATTAGGAGATATACCTAATGTAAATGATGAGTGAATGGGTGCAGCACACCAACATGGCACATGTATACATATGTAACAAACCTGCACATTATGCACATGTACCCTAGAACTCAAAGTATAATAATAATAATAAAAAGAATTGATACAGCAACCCAGTGCTAACAAGTTGCTAATGAATTAAAAACTATTTTCTTGAGAATTCTAGAAGAGAGATAATGGGCAAGTTAGAGAAATGGGTACTGAATGGAGGAACACACATCCCCATTTCAAAGTGCCCTGGGACTAGTGGCCCCACACTGAGAGCACTTGGCCAATAGAAGTGAGTGGGTCAGAGAGGGAGAGACAGAAACTCTCCAGTGACCAACTGGGCAGTTGTTGCCTTCTCATACAATTGTGTGCAGTCTTACAATAAATGAAGTGGAGTTGGGTGCAGAATGGCTTTTTCCTGCTAACCTCGTTAATCAGAGTAAGAAATCATCAGCCTAGGGGAGGAAAGGGCCTTTAACTTCATCTTCCTCTAAGGTCAAGTGATGTGGTGATTTTTGTTTAATCCTTTGCACAGTTCCTCCTAATTCACCACCAGAGGCACTTTGTGTGGCTCAAGGGTAGAAAAGAATTGGAGAGCTATGAACATGGATTACACAGGAATATCACATTTTCAAAAAATGAGTAATAGGTATAAGAAACATGAAGACCCTTAGCTAAGTGTGTGGCAGAAGGTGTTGTCGGGATTCATGAACCCTGGGGAACCCCGGCACCAGGCCACTCCTGTTCTCGGCTGTTCTCCAGTATGGCTTGGCTGTTGCACTTTGCGTCACTGCTATTCATGCCTACTGTGTCCCTATACCTGGACAGGAGCATGTATTTTGCAGGTAGAAGTTTATGTCGGTTTGAGTCCTGACTCTGACTCCTTCTAAACGTGTACCTTTGGGGAATATTTTCATCTCTCTGAGAGGTAAGACTGCACGCTTAGCTCATGGATGGTGGTAATGCCAGAATCCTCTTCCTAATATCTGGATAGTGTTTTCCAGTTGACAAGGTCATTTCAAGTGTTATGTCTTTATTTTTTTTCACCTGCTCTTCCAAGTTGAAGTATATGAGAGTATTTTCTGAATTAACCTTTAAAAAGCTGTGTTATATTAAAATCTGTAAATCAGGTGAATGAAATATATTTGTATTTAAATGTATAAATATATCAAAAGGTATGTAAATATAAAAATTTACACATATTTATATAAAATATATAAATCAATGAAAACTAAAAATTAAAAAACAATGAAAAAATCATTGAAAACTAAAAAAAAAGAACAGGTATGTTTTACTCCATGTGTGCTTTATATTTTTTCTGTGATTTTATTTGTTTATTTATTTTTAGCCTTTAAAAAAACACAAATTTTTCTGTTGCAGATGCATGGCTTTTTTTTTTTTTTTTTTTGCCCTTTTCCTTGAAGATTTAATAAAATTCTGCCTTTCAGCCCTTGGCTTGGAGCTATTGTCCTGTTATTGCATTGGTTGGGTCATGCCAGAAAAACTCTTGACCTTGTTCAAAATTGCTACAATAATGGGCTCTGTCCCTCCTTCTCGAATAGGTATGCTGCTGTAGGACTGATGAGCTGCCCAAGAAAACTTTATATCCACCCCATAAAGCTGTCAGCAGTGAAAACAGAGAGTTTAACAGCGGGAAATGTGAATGTATTGATATCATCCACAGTATCCCGAATGCTGATGAGAACTTGCCTCTTAAATGTCTAGAGTGATGGGATTGATATTGGGAAATAAAAACATACACTTTGTTTCAGCGAACAGGACGTATTGCCCTTTGGATCTAAAATAGCATCCATTCACATTGACCAGGATGATAAGTGAGAACTTCCAAGTCAGCCCCAGGAAAAGGGTGGACAGGAACTGTGAGTGTTGATGTTTTCCAGCAGTGCTTAGTGTGCATGTACCTTGAGGTCTTGCATTTATACTTACTGCTTTTGACTTTGCTTTTCCCTCCAAAGAAAATTATTCCTATTTACCAACATTTACAACATTGTGAGATATACAGCAATTGGGCCAGTCTCCTTCAGACTTTGGGCACTTACCAAGTGGCATATGTATGGCAGAGATTGTTAATTCCCTTTCTCCAACATTTGATCTCTTCTTCTTCCTCAAATAGATAACCCTGATTCTTAGCTGAGCATATTGCAGCTCAGAACTGAAGACTATATTCAACCTTCGTGTTTAGCTAGAATAGGCAAAAGGATCTCTTTACCAGGAAGATGTGAATGGAAATGCGTAGGATTTGTGGAAAGGCTACTTGAAAAATGCTGCTTCAGCTGAACGTAAGCCCATCTGTGCTCTCCAGCCATTCTTCCTCCTTCTGGCCTCAACTGGCCATGAATACCACAAAGTGACCTTGAAAAAGAGTCCACAGGCTAAAGATGGTGAAATAGGGAGAAGCCCAAATTCCTGATAATGCTATGGAGCCTCTCCTAGCCCAGAGCTGCTGATTCAGGACTTCCTCTCTGCAACAACAACAACAACAACAACAACAACAACAAACAAACAAACAAAAACCAAAAAACAAAAAACCATGCCCTTTTGTTTAAGCCATTGGTTGTTGTTTTCTTTGCTAAAGGAGGGCAAATTCTAAATGTTACATATAGGCAAGATCAATAATGGTGCTGCACAGGGCCACATTGGAGGCTCAGAGAAGAGGACACTTTAGTAATATTCATCATGCATTTTTGCATTAATTTTGATTTTTTAAATTATTGCATTGGGACTTGTGCTCCTGAAAAGATAAATTGCAAATACTTTCACCTATTCCTCCTACTAAGTACAACTAAAAACCTTGGACATACATTTTATATGTAATGAAGGCAGAAGGCTTTCTCAGGACCAGAGGAATGACACAGCAGTGAACTCGCTCGATTTTCTTTTCGCCTTGTGTCACTTGCACATGTAACTGAAGGAGCAGGCAACCCACAAATGCCAATTAGAGCACAGACAACAAGTCCCAGCAGCAAACAGATGCTTTCACTAGTCAAAGGATCAGGAAAGGGGCAGTCTATTAAGACAGGAAACTTTTAGAAAATAGCTACTCTGCTTTATCCAAATACTGCAGAAAAACTGGCTCCACTCCAGCCAAGCCAGCAAAGATTAAATTGGTAACTGAGTGGGGACACTTGTGAAGATGAAATAAGATGCCCAAGACCCTTACAGGAATTGTGTCAGACAAGGCCAATATGAAGTCAGTATTAAAAAAATGTATTTTATTTATTTTTTTATTATTATTTTTTTGAGATGGAGTCTAGCTCTGTTGCCCAGGCTGGAGTGCAGTGAGCGATCTCGGCTCACTGCAAGCTCCGCCTCCTGGGTTCATGCCATTCTCCTGCCTCAGCCTCCTGAGTAGCTGAGACTACAGGCACCCGCCACCACGCCCATCTATTTTTTTTTGTTTTTGTTTTGTATTTTTTAGTAGAGACAGGGTTTCACCGTGTTAGCCAGGATGGTCTTGATCTCCTGACCTTGTGATCCACCCGCCTTGGCCTCCCAAAGTGCTGGGATTACAGGCGTGAGCCACTGTGCCCGGCCAGATTTTATTTTTTACAGTAGTTTTACAGCAACAATTATTGTAAGGTACACAGAGTTCCCATATGCCTCCTGCCCCCACACATGCACAGCCTCCCCTGTTACCTACATCCCTAACAGAGTGGTACATTTGTTATGATTGATGAACCTGCATTGACACTTCATTAATACCTAAAGTCCATAGTTTACAATAGAGTTTTTTCTTGAGGTTGTACCTATTATGGGTTTTGACAAATGCTAATGACTTGGATCCACCATTCTAGTATCATAGTTTCACTACCCTAAAAATCTTCTGTGCTCTCCCTATTCTTCTCTTCCTCCCCCGAATCCCTGGTAACCACTAGTCCTCTTACTGTATTCATAGTTTTGCCTTTTTTCACAATGTCATAGTGGGAAACATGTAGTATATAGTGTTTCCAGATTGGCTTCTACTTAGTAATGTGAATTTCAGTTTCCTGTATGTCTTTTTATGGCTTGAGAGCTCATTCCTATTCCACTGTATGGATATATATATAAAACAGTCATGAACATCTTGGTTGCTTTTAAGTTTTGACAATTGTGAATAAAGCTGCTGTAAACATTGATGTGTAGGTTTTTGTGTGGATGTAAATTTTCAACTCATTTGGGTAAACACCAAAGAGCACCACTGCTGAATTGTATAGTAAAAGTATGTTTAGAGTTATAAGAAACTGCCAAACTGTCTTCCAAAATGGCTGTGTATCATTCTACATTCTGACCGGCAATGAATGGGAGTGCCCATTGCTCCACATCCAAACCAGCATTCGGCATTGTCAGTGTTCTGGATTTTGACCATTCTAATAGTGGTATGAGAATAACTTAATGTTGTTTTAATTTCCCATTCCCTAATGTCATACGATATTGAGTATCTTTTTAAATACTATTTTTTTTTGCCATCCATATATCTTTTTTAGTGAGGTTATTTGTTCAGATCTTTTGGCCATTTTTTTAATGAGGTTGTATTTTTATTATTGTTGAGTTTCAAGAATTCTTTGTATATTTTGGTTAACAGTACTTTACCATATGTGATTTGCAAATATCCTTTTTCCCAGTTTGTGGCTTGTCTTCTCATTCTTTTGACAGTGTTTTTCACAGAGAAGATGTTTTTAATTTTAACAAATTTATGAATGATTTCTTTCACAGATCAGGCTGTTGGTGTTGTATCTAAAAAGTCATTACATACCTAATGTCATCTAGGTTCTCTCCTGTTATTGTCTAGGAGATTTTTAGTTTTGCATTTTACATTTAGGTTCATGATATATTGAATGCTTATATTTGTAAGGGTGTAAGTTCTGTGTCTAGATTCTTTTTATGTAAATGTCCAGTTGTTGACACCATTTGTTGAAAAGACCCTTTGCTTTATTGTATTGCCTTTGCTCATTTGTCAAAGATCAAGTTGCCTATATTTATGTGGGTCTGTTTCTAGGCTTTGTCTTCTGTTCTATTGAATAATTTTTCTGCTTTTTTTTTTTTTGGCCAATACCATGCTGTCTTGACTACCATAACATTTTAGTAGATCTTAAAGTAGGGTAGTATCAGTCCTCTGACTTTGTTCTTCTCCTTCAATATTGCATTGTCAATTCTAGGTCACCTGCCTCCCTCTATAAACATTAGAATCAGTTTGTTCATATCCACAAAATAGCTTCTGGGATTTAAATTGAGATTGTGTTAAATCTATAGATAGAGTTGAGAAAAACTCACATCATGCAATATTAGTCTTCCTATCCATGAACATACAATATTTCTCCATTTGTTTAGTTCTTTGATTTCTTTCATGAGAATTTTGTGATTTTCCTTATATACATCTTATAAAAATTGTTTGATTTATACCAAAGTATTTCATTTTTGTGGGGGTTAATGTAAATGGTTTTGTATTTTTAGTTTCAAATTGTGCTTATTCATTGCTGGTATATAGAAAAGAGACTGAGTTTTATAAATATTAACCTTGTATTATTGTGCACCTTGCTATAATCACTTATTGATTACAAGTAAAGTTTTTTTTTGTCAATTCTTTAATTGTCATTTGTGAACAAAGCCAATTTTATTTCTTCCTCCTTAATCTGTATACCTTTTAATTTTTTTCTTGTCTTAGTTGCATTAGCTAGGAATTCCAGAGTAATATCAACAAGAAGTGGTGAGAGAAGATACCCTTGCTTTGTTTCTAATCTTATCAGAAAGGCTTCTAGTTTCTTTCTTTCTTTTTTTTTTTGGGACGGAGTCTCACCCTGTCGCCAGGCTGGAGTGCAATGGTTCAATCTTGGCTCACTGCAACCTGCATCTCCCAAGTTCAAATAGTTCTCCTGCCTCAGCCTCCCGAGTAGCTGGGAATACAGGCGTGCACCACCATACCCAGCTTATTATTATTATTTTTTTGTATTTTTAGTAGAGACAGGGTTTCACCATGTTTTCCAGATTGGTCTCGATCTCCTGACCTCATGATCCGCCTGCCTCGGCCTCCCAAAGTGCTGGGATTACAGATTACAGACATGAGCCACTGCGCCTGGCTGGCTTCTAGTTTCTTATGATTATGGGTCATGTTAATTGTAGGTTTTGTGTAGATTTTTTAAAAATCAAGTTTACGAAGTTTTTCTCTATTCATAGTTTGCTGAGAGGTGTTTTTTTTTTAATCATGAATGGTTGTTGAATTTTGTTAAATGATTTTTCTGCATCTACTGATATAAAAATTTCTTCTTATAAAGATTTTTCTTCTTTAGACTTTTGGTGTGATAGACTCTATTAATTGCTGTTTGAATGTTGAACCAGACTTGCATACCTGAGATATATCTCACTGGTTGCGGTGTACAATTCTTTTTATACATTGTTTGATTTGATTTGTTAATATTTTGTTGAAAAGTTTTGCATCTGTGTTCATGAGAGCTATTGGCCTGTAGTTTTCTCTTTCTGTAATTTTTTTGATTTTGATATTAAGGTAATCCTGACCTCATAGAATGAATTAGGATGTATTTCTTCTGCTTCTATATTCTGAAAGAAATTAGAGAAAATTGGTATAATTTCTTCATTAAGTATTTGGTAGAATTCGCCAGTGAACCCATCTGTGTCTGTTGCTTTCTCTTTTTGAAGGTTATTAATCACTGATTTAATTTCTGTAATAGGTATAGGCCTATTGTGATTGTCTACTTCCTCTTTTGTGAACTTTGGAAGATTGTGTCTTTCAAGAAATTGGTCCATTTCATCTAAGTGATCAATTTTGGGGGAATATAGTTGTTCATAGTATTTATTTATTTTTCTTTTAATGTCTATGGTATCTGTAGTGATGTCTCCATTTTCATTTTTCACATTAGTAATTTATGTCCTCTCTCTTAACCTTTCTCAATAATTAATAGAAAAATTAAACAGAAAATCAGTACGACTGTGGAAGAGAACTCATAACACCATCAACTAATAGTATCTAATCTATATTCATAGAACATTCCACCCAGCAACAGCAGAATACACATTATTTTTCAAGTGCCCAAAGGATATATAGTATGAAGACAAACCACATACCGGGTCATAAATTCAACCTCAATAAACTTATAGAAAAATGAGCTCATGTTGAATTGTTGTCCAACAACTTAATTCAAGTGGAAATCAGTAACAAAGGTAACAGGAGAATCTCTAAACATTTGGAAAGTGAACAACACACTTTTAAATAATCCATAGGCCAAAGAAGAGTCTGAAGAGAAATCAAAATATATATTAAACTAAATGAAAATGCAGCATATAAAAATGTGTGGGACACAGCTAAAGCAGTGCTGAGAGGGACATTGGTAGCACTAAATGTATTCATTAGAAAAGAGGAAAAGGGCTGGGCATGGAGGCTCATGCTTGTAATCCCAGCACTTTGGGAAACTGAGGTGGGTGGATTACTCTAGCCCAGGAGCACAAGCCTGGGCAACATGGCGAAACCTCATCTCTACAAAAAAATAAAATAAAAAAATAAAAATTAAGCAGGAGTGGTGGTGCATGCCTGCAGTCCCAGCTACTTGGGAGGCTGAGGTAGGAGGTCAAGTCTGCAGTGAGCCGTGATTTTGGCACTGCACTTCAGGCTGAATGATAGAGCAAAACCTGTCTCAAAAAAGAAAAAGGAAAGGAGAAAAAGTTTCATATCAATAATCTATGCTCCCACCTTAAGAATCTAAAAACTGAAGAGCAAAATAAACCAAAAGCAAGGAGAATGAAAGAAACAATACCAATAAAAACAGAAATAAAAATGGTAAGACCTAAGACAAATAACTGGCTCTTTCAAAATATCAATAAAAGTCACAAAGACCTCTAGCAAGACTGATGTGTGTGTGTGTGTGAGAGAGAGACAGAGAAACACATAACTTACCAAAATCAGAAATGAAATAGGGGATGTCATTACAGACCTTGTTGGCATTAGGATGATAATAAGGGAATATTACAAATAGCTCTACATATATAAACTTACAACTTAGATGAAAAGAACCAATTTGTCAGAAAACACTAAGACAACTCCACAAATGTGAAATAGAAAATTTTAATAGCCCTACAACTGTTAAAAAAATTGATCTCATAATTTTAAAATTCCCCCAAAAGCAATCTCCATGCCCAGATGGTTTCAGTAGATAATTTTACTGAACTTTTAAAAAGAAATTAACACCAATTCAAAAGACATATTCCCAGAAAATTGAAGAGAAAGGAACATTTTCCATTTTATGAAACCACCACATGGAGTTTCATTCTTGTAGCCCAGGCTGGAGTGCAATGGCATGATTTCGGCTCACTGCAACCTCTGCCTCCTGAGTTCAAGCGATTCTCCTGCCTCAGCCTCCCAAGTAGCTAGGATTACAGGCATGCGCCACCATGCCCAGCTAATTTTTTTTTTTTTAAATTTTTAGTAGACACGGGGTTTCACCATGTTGGTCAGGCTGGTCTCGAACTCCTGACCTCAGATGGATGGCCACCTCGGCCTCCCAAACTGTTGGGATTACAGGCGTGAGCCACTACGCCAGACCCATTTATCTTTATTGATGAATATTTTGTCATCCCTTAAATTTTGAGCCTGAGGCAAGTGCTTCACCAGCCTCATCTTGGTCTGAACCCTGATCCTAAAGATTCAATGAGATCTGCAGCATTTAGGACACTATAAAAATACAAGCCAGTGTACCTAATTTTTCTAACCCCAGCTTCTGAATCTATAAAATGAGGATATTATCTACTACACAGGGTTATGGTTAAAATAGATATAATACATGAAAGCCCCTGTATTAGTTTGCTAGGGCTGCCATAATAAACGATAGACAGCCTGGTTGGCTTAAACAGAAATACATTTCCTTACAACTCTGGAAGCTAGAAGCCAACATCAAGGTGGTGTTGTGCCAAACTCCACTAACCTCAGTTGGGAAGAAACCAGGTTCAAGAGGCCTAAGAAGAGACCCATAGCCAGCAAACAAGACATGGGGTTTTATTGGGTCTTAGATACAGAGGAGTCCAGTACCAGCAGGCTAGACAGGATAACCAACTTACTTATAGAAATGGTCCAGTGGTGGCAGGTTGAACAACATTACCGCATGCCCCAGTGGCAGCAAGATGGACAGGAAAACACAATCACCTCCAAATGTCATGCACTTTATATCGCATTTTCACTTAACACCCTTCCCCTAATGATCTCCACCTGGGAATCTCACTTAACCCCAAACTCAGGGCCTCCCTCAATCCCCTGTATGGCTTATGTTCCATGGGACAGGGTGTGGGGCTTAGATGTTTATTATAGACAAGGAATGAATCTTCAGGTTGGCCACTCCCAGATTCGATAGCTCAGAACACACTCTATAGTGTGTCTGCCATACAGGGTCATTCTAAGGGTATGCTTAAATTATTGGTGTCAGGCACATTTACCCTACAGGTGTCAGCAGGGTTGGTTTCTTCTGAGGTCTTTCTCCTGGACTTGTAGATGGCTGTCTTCTGGTGTCTTCACATTGTTCTTGATACCTGTCTTATGTGTCTGTGTCCTAATATCCTTTTCTTATAAGGAAATCAGACATATCATATTAGCCCCCACTTCCTTTGACTTGATTTTACTATAATTCTTCTTTAAAGGCCCTAAATAAAAAAAATAGCCATGTTCTGCAGTACTAGGAGTTAAAACTTAAACATATGAATTTGGGTTTGGGGGGACACAATTCAGCCATACAGCTGCTAACATATTATTTCTTAAAATAATTTTACTTCTCATTTTCAAAATTATTTCCAAAGATAATCAAAACTCAAGGGCATGCCTTTTGGAACCAATCTAAGAATTAATTAATGAGCAAATATTACTCAATAAGAATGCCACGTATAATTTATTAAATGTTTACTATATGCTGGACAATATATACATTTTAATTACTTGGCTTTTAAGATTTTTTAAACAAACCTTTATAAAGGATATTTTTCGTTGAAGGTGGCACTTTCCTAGGAGATACTAAAATTCAGTGTTGTATTTCATAAGTTACCCTATCCAGTTGAAGCAGATGGAAGACATAACCTTTGAATGACACCAGTACTCCAGACTCTTACTGGGCATAACTGAAGAAGCTGTTCTAACCCATGAACAATGGGACACATTTCAACCAATTGTTCTGGACCCACGGACTCATTCTATCCATAGTGCCAGCCTTCAAAGCTTAACTAGCATAACCACCATTAACTCCTTCTTTCCAGCACTTAAACTCCCTTGATTTCTTTTTCTCTAGCTATTATACAACTAAGTGAATTTCTTCAATGGCATGTTTCCTTGTTGGCAAATTAACATACACATAGCTGTGTTTATTTTTTAAAAAATCTTTGTGATTCAATTTTATTCTTTGGCACTTGAAAGGCGAGTGCTATAGTTCTCATTTTAGATACAAGGAAAGTGAGTTTGACTATGTCGGCTCTTAGAGTTAAACCAAGGTCTGCAGCTTCTAAGCCTAAAACTCTTGCATTCACCCTCAATGCCTCTGTGTGCCCACTACTTTTAAATGCTGTGAATAAGGCACACATTTATCAAACAAAGCCCTGATTTCTCGAGAGACGATTTTTCTTTTTAGATAAATAAGGATTAAAATAATAGCATGAGAGATTAGTTCAAGAGAAACAAATTGCTAAAGAAAGGGAGGGATCAAAAGTACTGGGGCCTTTTAGATAGGAGAATCGGGGTAAACATAGACATCTCAGGCAGGGATATGGAAGGTTAATTGACAACAGAGTGTACTAATGCTCCTTTATCAGAGATTCAGAAGACTGAACAGAAAAGGGAAGTCAGGCATAGCTGCAGTTAGTGTAAGGAGTTTGTGATTTATTCTCCATTCTAATATACCTGGGGACTGGGCCGTACACATCTCAATAGCAGGAGCTGACATAACAGTGGTCCTCAAAAACGGCAGAGAGAGGAGGTTTATAAATGTCAATAGATTCCCTGCTGTAAGTCATGGGGAACTATTGGAGATTTTTGAAGTGGGAGTGGCATATAGTGACACTGATGCTTTTAAAAGATTAATATGGAAGATGAATGGAAGAGGACAATAGGAGGAGGGATGGGAAAAGTGATCGCATATTTTAATCAAGCTCAAAATTTGTTGTTTGTTTGGATTGTTTAAAGAATGAGAGGCTGAAGTTAGAAGTGCTGAACTGAATTGAAAGAAGGAAGTCCTCTCATTGAATGTCAGCCCTAAGAATGGAGAAACTGGGGCTACTTATGCCCAGCTGTGTCCTCAGAGCTCAGGCCAGTGCCTGTGACACAGTAGATATGCAATAAATATTTATTGAATGAATGGACATTGAAATGATTAAGCTAAACAATGCTAGAGAACTGGGTTGGAATTGTAATATGAGAACGTGGCAGATGCAGGGAAGTTGAAATGTCCCTTGTAGGGCTTTCTTTAATGTCAATGTCATTGGACATTTGAGTGGGAGCTAAACTTGGGAAATTGATTTTTTAAGTTTAAATTTAGTTTCTTTTTTTTTATTATTATACTTTAAGTTCTAGGGTACATGTGCACAATGTGGAGGTTTGTTACATAGGTATACATGTGCCATGTTGGTTTGCTTCACCCATCAACTCATCATTTACATTAGGTATTTCTCCTAATGCTATCCCTCCCCCAGCCCTCCACCCCACGACAGGCCCCAGTGTGTGATGTTCCCCTCCTGTGTCCATGTGTTTGCACCCACCTATGAGTGAGAACATGCAGTGTTTGGTTTTCTGTCCTTGTGATAGTTTGCTTAGAATGATGGTTTCCAGCTTCATCCATGTCCCTGCAAAGGACATGAACTCATCCTTTGTTATGGCTGCATGGTATTCCATGGTATATATGTGTCACATTTTCGTAATCCAGTCTATCACTGATGGACATTTGTGTTGGTTCCAAGCTTTGCTATTGTGAATAGTGCTGCAATAAACATACGTGTGCATATGTCTTTATAGTAGCATGATTTATAATCCTTTGGGTATATACCCAGTAATGGAATCATTGTGTCAAATGGTATTTCTAGTTCTAGATCCTTGAGGAATTGCCACACTGTCGTCCACAATGGTTGAACTAATTTACACACCCACCAACAGTGTAAAAGGGTTCCTATTTCTCCACATCCTCTCCAGCATCTGTTGTTTGCTGACTTTTTAATGATCGCCATTCTAACTGGCGTGAGATGGTATCTCATTGTGGTTTTGATTTGCATTTCTCTGATGGCAAGTGATGATGAGCATTTTTTCATGTGTCTGTTGGCTGCATGAATGTCTTCTTTTGAGAAGTGTCTGTTCATATCCTTTGCCCACTTTTTCATGGGGTTATTTGTTTTTTTCTTGGAAATTTGTGTAAGTTTTTTGTAGATTCTGAATATTAGTCCTTTGTCAGATGGGTAGATTGTAAGATTTTCTCCCATTCTGTAGGTTTACTGTTCACTGTGATGATAGTTTCTTTTGCTGTGCAGAAGCTCTTTAGTTTAATTAGATCCCATTTGTCTATTTTGGCTTTTGTTGCCATTGCTTTTGGTGTTTTAGTCATGAAGTCTTTGCCCATGCCTATGTCCTGAATGGTATTGCCTAGGTTTTCTTCTAGGGTTTTTATGGTTTTAGGTCTAACATTTAAGTCTTTAATCTATCTTGAGTTAATTTTTGTATAAGCTGTAAGGAAGGGATCCCATTTCAGCTTTCTACATATGAGTAGCCAGTTTTCCCAGCACCATTTATTAAATGGGGAATCCTTTCCCCATTGCTTGTTTTTATCAGGTTTGTCAAAGATCAGATGGTTGTAGATGTGTGGTGTTATTTCTGAGGCCTCTGTTCTGTTCCATTGGTCTATATATCTGTTTTGATACCAGTATCATGCTGTTCTGGTTACTGTAGCCTTGTAGTATAGTTTGAAGTCAAGTAGCATGATGCCTCCAGCTTTGTTCTTTTTGCTTAGGATTGTCTTGGCTATGTGGGCTCTATTTTGGTTCCATATGAACTTTAAAGTAGTTGTTTCCAGTTCTGTGAAGAAAGTCAGTGGTAGCTTGATGGGGATAGAATTGAATCTATAAATTACCTTGGGCAGTATGGCCATTTTCACGATACTGATTCTTCCTATTCATGAGCATAGAATGTTCTTCCATTTGTTTGTGTCCTCTTTCATTTTGTTGAGCAGTGGTTTGTAGTTCTCCTTGAAGTGGTCCTTCACATCCCTTGTAAGTTGGAATCCTAAGTATTTTATTCTCTTTGAAGTAACTGTGAATGGGAGTTCACTCATGATTTGGCTCTCTGTCTATTGTTGGTGTATAGAAATGCTTGATTTTTACATATTGATTTTGTATCCTGTAACTTTGCTGAAGTTGCTGATCAGCTTAAGGAGATTTTGGGCTGAGATGATGGGGTTTTCTAAATATACAATCTTGTCATCTGCAAACAGAGACAATTTGACTTACTCTTTTCCTAACTGAATACCTTTATTTCTTTCTCTTGCCTGATTGCCCTAGCCAGAACTTCCAACACTATGTTGAATAGGAGTGGTGAGAGAGGACATCCTTCCTTGTCTTGTGCTGGTTTTCAAAGGGAATGCTTCCAGTTTTTGCCCATTCAGTATGATATTGGCTGTGGGTTTGTCACAAATACCTCTGATTATTTTGAGATACATTCCATCAATACCTAGTTTTTTGACAGTTTTTAGCATGAAGGGCTGTTGAATTTTGTTGAAGGCCTTTTCTGCATCTATTGAGATAATCATGTGGTTTTTGTCATTGGTTCTGTTTGTGTGTTGGATTACATTTATTGATTTGCCTATGTTATACCAGCCTTGCATCCTAGGGATGAAGCCAACTTGATCGTGGCGGATAAGCTTTTTGATGTGCTGCTGGGTTTGGTTTGCCAGTATTTTATTGAGGATTTTTGCATTGATGTTCATCAGGGATATTGTCCTAAAATTCCCATTTTTTGTTGTGTCTCTAGCGGGCTTTGGTACCAGGATGATCCTCGCCTCGTAAAATGAGTTAGGGAGGATTCCCTCTTTTTCTGTTGATTGGAATAGTTTTAGAAGGAATGGTACCAGCTCCTCTTTGTACCTCTGGTAAAATTTGGCTGTGAATTCACCTGATCCTGAACATTTTTTGGTTGGTAGGGTATTAATTATTGCCTCAACTTCAGAACCTGTTACTGGTCTATTTAGAGATTCAGCTTCTTCCTGGTTTAGTCTTTGGAGGGTGTATGTGTCCAGGAATTTATCCATTTCTTCTGTATTTTCTAGTTTATTTGCATAGAGGTGTTTATATTATTCTCTGATGGTAGTTTGCATTTCTGTGTGATCAGTGGTGATATTCCCTTTATCATTTTTTATTGCATCTATTTGATTCTTCTCTCTTTTCTTCTTTATTAGTCTTGCCAGTGGTCTATCAATTTTGTTGATCCTTTCAAAAAACCATCTCCTGGATTCATTGATTTTTTGAAGGGTTTTTTGTGTCTCTATCTCCTTCAGTTCTGCTCTGATCTTAGTTATTTCTTGCCTTCTGCTAGCTTTTGAATTTGTTTGCTCTTGCTTCTCTAGTTCTTTTAATTGTGATGTTAGGGAGTCAGTTTTAGATCTTTCCTGCTTTCTCTTGTGGGCATTTAGTGCTATAAATTTCCCTCTACATACTACTTTAAATATGTCCCAGAGATTCTGGTATATTGTGTCTTTGTTTTCATTGGTTTCAAAGACCATCTTTATTTCTGCCTTCTTTTCGTTATGTACCCAGTAGTCATTCAGGAGCAGGTTGTTCAGTTTCCATGTAATTGTGCAGTTTTGAGTGAGATTATTAATCCTGCATTCTAATTTGATTGCACTGTGGTCTGAGAGACAGTTTTTTATGATTTCTGTTCTTTTACATTTGCTGAGGAGTGTTTTCCCACCAATTATGTGGTCAATTTTTGAATAAGTGTGATGTGGTGCTGAGAAGAATGTATATTCTGTTGATTTGGGGTATAGAGTTCTGTAGATGTCTATTAGGTATGTTTGGTCCAGAGCTGAGTTCAAGTCCTGGATATCCTTGTTAACCTTCTGTCTCGTTGAGCTGTCTAATATTGACAGTGGGGTGTTAAAGTCTTCTATTATTATTGTGTGGGAGTCTAAGTCTCTTTGTAGGTCTCTAAGGACTTGCTTTATGAATCTGGGTGCTCCTGTATTGGGTGCATATATATTTAGGATAGTTAGTTCTCCTTGTTGAATTGATCTTTTTACCATTACATAATGGCCTGTTTTGTCTCTTTTGATTTTTGTTGGTTTAAAGTCTGTTTTATCAGAGACTATGAATGCAACCCCTGCTTTTTTTTTTTTTTTGCTTTCCATTTGCTTGGTAGATCGTCCTCCATCCCTTTATTTTGAGCCTATGTGCGTCTTTGCATGTGCGATGGGTCTCCTGAATACAGCACATCGATGGGTCTTGACTCTTTATCCAATTTGCCTGTCTGTGTCTTTTAATTGGGGCATTTAGCCCATTTACATTCAAGGTTAATATTGTTATGCTTGAATTTGATCCTGTCATTATGATGTTTGCTGGTTATTTTGCCTATTAATTGATGCAGTTTCTTCATAGCATCGATGGTCTTTACCATTTGGCCTGTTTTTGCAGTGGCTGGTACTGGTTGTTCCTTTCCATGTTTAGTGCTTCCTTCAGGAGCTCTTGTAAGGCAGGCCTGGTGGTGACAAAATCTTTCGGCATTTGCTTGTGTGTAAAGGATTGTATTTCTGCTTCACTTATGAAGCTTAGTTTTGCTGGATATGAGATTCTGGGTTGAAAATTCTTTTATTTAAGAATGTTGAATATTGGTCCCCAGTCTCTTTTGGCTTGTAGAGTTTCTGCTGAAAGATCTGCTATTAGTCTGATGGGCTTCCCTTTGTGGGTGAATTGACCTTTCTCTCTGGCTGCCCTTAACTTTTTTTCCTTCATTTCCACCTTGATGAATCTGACAATTATGTGTCTTGGGGTTACTCTTCTCGAGGAGAATCTTTGTGGTATTCTCTGTTTTTCCTGAATTTGAATGTTGGCCTGCCTTTCTAGGTTAGGAAAGTTCTCCTGGATAACATCCTGAAGAGTGTTTTCTAACTTGCTTACATTTTCCCCGTCACTTTCTGGTACATCAATCAAATGTATATTTGGTCTTTTTACATAGTCCCATATTTCTTGGAGGCTTTGTTTGTTTCTTTTCACTCTTTTGTCTCTAATCTTGTCTTTTCACTTTACTTCATTAATTTGATCTTAAATCACTGATATCCTTTCTTCCACTTGATCAAATCAGCTATTGAAACTTGTGCATACATCACGAAGTTCTCATGCCATGGTTTTGAGCTCCATCAGGTCATTTAACGTCTTCTCTACACTCTTTGTTCTAGTTAGCCATTAATCTAACCTTTTTTGAAGGTTTTTAGCTTCCTTGCGATGGGCTAGAACGTGCTTCTTTAGCTCGGAGAAGTGTGTTATTACTGACCTTCTGAAGGCTACTTCTGTCAACTCATCAAACTCATTGTCTGTCCAGTTTTGTTCCCTTGCTGCCAAGGAGCTGCAATCCTTTGGAGGAGAAGAGGCACTCTGTTTTTTTGAATGTTCATCTTCTCTGCTCTGGTTTCTCCCCATTTTTGTGGTTTTATCTACCTTTGGTCTTTGATGTTGGTGACCTATAGATGGGGTTTTGGGGTGGATGTTCTTTTTGTTGATGTTGATGCTATTGCTTTCTGTTTGTTAGTTTTCCTTCTAACAGTCAGGCCCCTCAGCTGCAGGTCTGTTGCAGTTTGCTGGAGGTCCACTCCAGACTCTGTTTGCCTGGGATACCACCAGCGGAGGCTGCAGTAAAGCAAATATTGCTGCCTGATTCTTCCTGTGGAAGCTTTGTCCCAGAGGGGCACCCACCTGTTTGAGTTGTCTGTCGGTGCCTACTGGGTGGTGTTTCACAGTCAGGCTACATGGGGGTTAGAGACCCACTTGGGGAGGCAGTCTGTCTGTTCTCGGAGCTCAAATGCCATGCTGATAGATCCACTGCTCTCTTCAGAACTGTCAGACAGGGAGGTTTAAGTCTGCAGAAACTGTCTGCTGCCTTTTGTTCTACTATGCCCTGCCCCCAGGGGTGGAATCTATAGAGGCAGTAGGCCTCCCTGAACTGCCGTGGGGTCCACCCAGTTTGTGCTTCCTGGCTGCTTTGTTTACACTGTAAGCTACTCAAGCCTCAGCAATAGCTGACGCCCCTCCCCCCAGCAAGCTGTTGCAGGTCCATCTCAGACTGCTGCCTTAGCAGTGAGCAAGAATCCGTGGGTGTGAGACCCACTGAGCCAGGCACGGGAGCATATCTCCTGCTCTGCCAGTTGCTAAGACTGTGGGAAAAGTGCAGTATTTGGTCAGTGGTGTACCATTAATCCAGGTACAGTCTGTCATGGCTTCCCTTGGCTAGGAAAGGGAAATCCCCCGACCCTTTGCACTTCCCAGGTGAGACAGTGCCCCACCCTGCTTCAGCTTGCCCTTCATGAGCTGCACCCACTGTCCAAGCAGTCCCGCTGAGATGAACCAGATACCTCAGTTGGAAATGCAGAAATCACCCGTCTTCTGCGTCAATCTCACTGGGAGCTGCAGACCAGAGCTGTTCCTATTCAGCCATCTTGGAAGCAAGCCTAAATTGAGTTTCTTACCTTGAGTCTGATGTTTACCTTCTTACAGAGCATTAGAAACTACCTTAATTAAAACTAATAATTTAAGCAAGAGCTAGGTTCTTGTCATCAGATAAATTTGTTGTCTTTTGATTGAGACTAACACTTAGAAGTTAAAAAAAAGGTCATTTAATATTAAGGATCTGATCTTGGGTCAGGTCAGCATGATCCACATAACGGTTTACTTAAAATCTTTTTTTTCCATAATAAGCTTGTCTTAATTCCCTGATATTCAATTTTGCACAGAAGAATCACCTGGGGAACTTTTAGAATGTCCATACCTGCAGCCACTACCAGATGTCCAGGTATAATTGGTCTGGAAGTGGGGCCATGGACATCAGGATTTTTAGAAAGTTTTCTGGTGATTCTAATAGACAGCCACAGCTGAGAATCATATCCTACTAACTTAAACTTCTGTTATCACACCTGTCTGCTGCACACATCACAACTACCCACATTCTTCACCCCTCTCTAAAGGCACCAAGCCCTTCTAAATGTTTTTGCCATTGTTTGCACTGTTTCTTGCCACTCAGATTTCATTCAGTGAATTCACACTTACTATCTTTGTGACTCACATCAAATCCATTTTGTGTTTTTTTTTTTTTTGGCGACATAAACCCTGTCTTCCCATGGAGTTAATTCCTCCCTGTTTGATGTCTCCATAGCCCACAGCTGACTTGTTTACCATTTCTCATTGCATTTTTCCACTGGATTGTGTGTTTGTTGAGGGCAAGAAAGAGTTCATTTCTTTTAGCAGCTTGATTGCTTGGCACATAGTAAGCAATTAATAAATGTGTGTTTGATTGAACTAACATTATGTGAGAAAAATAGAGTGATTTCTAAGCTGTATGTTGAAGTCACATTCAAAAAAATTTTTAAAAGCATCCTTTTTATGTGTTATGTATATAAATTAAGGCACAGAACTGAAGTCTGAGAGTCCCATTTTCCTATTTTCTGATCTGGGCAGTCATTGGATTTATCTGAGGGTTAGTTTCATCACCTTTGAAATAAGGGAGTTGTTTAAGATGATGCTTAAGTTCTCATTGATTCTGAAAGCAATTCATAGTTTATAGAATGTAGAATGTTCAAATAGCCTAGTGGAGTGTGAAGAAGACTTGCAACTTCATGTTTGCGAACTATGTATATAGTAAATTCATGTTAACCACCTTGACGCTTATTTTCACGTACTGAAACTTTCTCTGAAGCCCAGAAAATCAAGAAATTTGCTGACCTACCTGCCAATCCTTCAATAAGCATCTATCACTGAGTGGATGGCCACCAAATGTCACATAGTGATGATGGTGTTATAGATGTCTACCTCTTTTATTGATCATTTATCCTTAAGCTGCAATAGCACTAACATATGCTGTATTCATGCTAATAGTGTTTGTTTGACAAGCAATATTGATTTACCCTTCATGACTCTAGAAAGATGAGTGGTAGGTGAAGTGAAATTAATTTTAGAGGACCACGTTGTTTATTCCAAGTGAATATACAATCCTTACCCTAGAATAAAAAATTCTCAATTTGGGGATCAAATTATGTATCACTTTTTGAACAGCTTCTACGTGCCATGGATTATACTTTACATTGTCTCATGTGTACCTTTTACTATTTGTTAACATGGCAAGATAGGTTTATTTATTACATATCTTTAAATTTTATTATGAAAAAGTTTAAACATCTAAAAATTTTGGGGCATAGTGCAATGAGCATCCATATATCTATTAGCTAGATTTAACATTTTGACATTTACTTTATCTAATTTTTAAAAAATAAATTATAGATACCATAGCATTTTAACCCAAATTCTTCAGTATGCATCTCTTAAAAAAAAGCAGTTTCAAAATAACAATTACCAATACTATTATAGCACCAAATGATAGCAACAATTTTTTAATATTACCTAATACCAATTTCACGTTAAAATGTTCCCAACTGAATACAGATTATGTGGCATATAAAAATACATATTGTCCAAACTAGGATCCAGTACAGTAACCTACATTTCACTTGGTAGCATTTAAGAGTTTTTTGTTCGTTTGTATTTTTTTTTGTTTGTTTGTTTGTTTTTGAGACAAAGTCTCACTCTGTCACCAATCTGGAGTGCAGTGGCAGGATCTCAGATCCCTGCATCCTCTGCCTCCCAGGCTCAAGCAATCCTCCCACCTCAGCCTTCCAAGTAGCTGGGACTACAAGCACGCACCACCACATCCAGATAATTTCTGTATTTTTTGTAGAGACGAGGTTTCATCATGTTGCCCAAGCTGGTCTTGAACTCCTGGACTCAAGAAATCCACCCACCTCAGCCTCGAAAAGTGCTGGGATTACCGGTGTGAGCCACTGCACCCAGCTGGTAGCATTTATGTTAACACATTTTTCCTCTAGCACAGTCCTCCCTTTACCTTTTCTTTTTCATGGCATTAAATTTTAAAGAGACCAGGAGACTTCTAGTTTTGGCTCTGACATTTAAAGGGTTTGGAAATCATAACTCCTGTCCTTACAACATGAAAAAGGCTGAATAAGCTGATAATCAGTTACTAGCTTTGGACCTATCAGAGAGTTGAAGTCTCAGAAAAAACTACCACCCCAAATTTGGAGAACTAAGCAAATCCAGAGAGCCCCCTCCAAGATCTGTTCACCTGGAACATGTTGCTGGAGCAATACAGTGGTAGGAAGACTTAAAGGGTAATTTTGACAAATTGGTGGAGGCTGAATAGAAATAAGAATGAAAGTTAGAAACTCTTGGAGGCCAGAGTCTTAAGGGGACCTGGAAAGTTTATTAAGTTTTACTTCCAAGAACCCTACCAGGTTCTCACATTGAATAACTGAGAAAGATCTTCTCATGGTTCTGGCTGAGGAAGCAGAGACATAACCATTATGATCATTCTCCCAAAGCCCTGCTCTCTAAAGGGAAAGACTTCCTGTGACTTACCCCAGCTGAAGAAAGGGCATCTGCTCTGCTGCAGTCCTCTCTACAGTTCCTGTCTCGCCTAAGTTGAGTGAAGTGATGGGAGTCAGAAAGAAACACATGTGAAAGTTACAGCTCAGGGACATAGGCCCATTTGAAGATCAAGGTTTAATCATAAGATTAGAATGTTTTCCTTCATCCAAATTCTACCACTACATCCACAGGGTCCAGTATAATGTTGGAATATGGCTGAAAGAGCTCTAAGATAAAGACGCTGCATAAGCATTCCTACACAACAAGGAAGACTAAAGCAAGAGGAATTTGAAGCCTCTGGAACCTACAACTACATCAAACATTAAACGCAGCTCTGGCTAGAAAGATTTTATAAAAACAAAAACAAAACCAAAAACAAACACAACGCAACTATATGCCAGATTAATATTTTTAAAAATACACACAAAAGGTACTCACCTTAGTTCTTATTACTTGACATATCATGGAAGGCTTTCAACAAGAATTACAGGGTATAGAACAAAAGCAAAAGCAAAGCCAGCATTAGAGGCAAAGCCGGCATTAGAGGCAAAGACGGCATTAGAACCAGACTCAGATATGACACACATTAGGATATTAGCATTATTAGGATATAACCAAATACCTATGGTTAATGTATTAAGGGCTTTAATGGAAAAAAATTTGGCAGCATGCAAGAAAGATGGGTAATGTACTTGGAAAAATGAAATCTCTAAGATGGAAATCAGAGGAATACGCTAGAAAGCAAAAACTCTGTAATGGAAATGGAGAATGTCTTTGTTGGGTTCTTCAGGAGAAGGCACACAGCCAAGGAAAGAGTCAATGAACTTGATGATGTCAATAGAACTTACCAAAATGGAATTCAAAGAGAAAAGGAACAAGAAACAACAATGGTGACATCAACGAGCTGCAGGGCAGAATCAAAGATATAACCTATACCTTATCAAAATATGAGAGGAAGAAAGCAGGAAGGGAATGAAAGAAATATTTGAAATAATCATGGAGAAATTTCTAAAATTAATGACAGACAACAAATCACAGATCAAAGACACTCCAAGAACACCAAGCGGTATAAATGCCAAAAAATCCACACCCAGGCACATCATATTTAAAGGGAGGAAAAATGATGGGAAAAAAATTATATAAGAAGCCAGAGAATAAAACACCTTGTCTATTGTAGAATGATAATTTCACTGAACTTCTTGTCAGAAACCATGTAAATAAGAAGAGAGTGTACTGAAATATTTAAAGGGTTGAAAAAAAACAGCCAATGTGGAATTGTATTTCCAGAAAATTATCCTTGAACAGTGGAAAAGAAATAAAGACTTTCTTAGACAAATAAAGAGTGACAGAATTCATTACTGGCAGAAAATCATATAAGAAATGTTTAAATTCTTCAGGGTGAGGGAAAATGGCAAAGATTAGAAACTTGAATCCATATAAAGAAAGAAAAAGCATCAGAGAAGAATTAAATAAATACAAATAAATCTTTTATTTTTCTTATTTTTAATTGATCTAAAACATAACTGTTTACAATAATAACAGTAAAATGTATTAGGTGATTATAGCATATTTTATAAGTGAAATGAATGACTACAATGTAATAAGTGATGGCAGGGAGAAATTAGGAACACTGTGTTATAGGGTGGAAGCAGTGTAATGTCTTGAAGGTGGATATAGTAAAGTGCAAAGACAATGAAAACCACTAAAATTTTTAAAAAGAAGTATAATTGTTATCCAAATGTAATGGAATCATAAAATACCCAATTACAATCAGATAAAGAAATAGAGGGAAACATGAGATAAGTTAAGCAAATATAAAGGAGTTACACAAGGCCAATATTAATATAATTATACCAATAAGCAATTTTTGTGTAAATTGTCTAAAGCACCAATTAAAAGACAGAGATTTTCAGAGTGAATTAAAGAAAACAAGACACAATTGTATATTGTCTGCAAAATACATTTTAAATATAAAGATTCAGGTATGTTAAATGTAAAGAAACAGAGAAAGATATACTACACTAACATTAGTACAAAGAAAACTGGAGTAGCTATATTAATTTCTTAATGGCACCAACTTCAGAACAGGGAAAATTATCAAGAATAAAGAAATGCATTATAGAATGATAAAGGAGTTAATCATTCAAGAAGACATAACAGTATTTAACAAGTACATGTATAACAACAGAGCATAAAAATATGCATGGCAGAAATGAATAGAACTGCAAGAAGAAATAGACAGATCCATTATTGTACTTGGAGACTTCAACATATTCTTTCTATAATTGACAGATGAAGCAGGCAGGAAGTCAGTAAGAATATAATTGGCCTGAACAACACCATCAATTAGCTTGATTGAATTGACATTTGTAGAATACTCTATCCAATACGAACAGAATATACTTTCTTGTCAAGCTCACATGGAACATTGACTAAGATGCAACACATTGTGGGCCACAAACAACACATGAACAAATTTAAAGGTATTGAATTCATACAAAGTATGTTCTCATTCCACAGTGGAGTTAAACTGTAAATTAGTAACAGAAAAAAGCTGGAAAATAAAAAATATTTGAACATTAAACAACATACTTCTAATAACATTAGTCAAAAATAAGTCTTGAGAGAAATTTAAAAACTCTTTGAACTAAATACAAATGAAAATATTACTTAAACTGTGAGATTCAGCAGAAGCATTGCTTAGATGGAAATTTATAGCATTGAATACATTATTAGAAAGAAAGATCTGAAAATAAATCTGAATTTCTCTCACATAAGACTAGAAAGAAAAAAAAATTTAAGCCAAAAGGAAGCAGAATAAAAAAAATAGAGCAGAAATCAATGAGATTGAAAACAGGAATACAATAAAGAAACTCAACAAAACCAGAAATGGGTTATTTGAAAAGATAAATAAAATTGGTAAATTTGTAGCCAGTCTCATGAAAAAAAAAAGAAGAGGTGTAAATAATCAGTTTCAGAAATGAAACATGTCATTATTACTGATTTTATGAGTACTCAGAGGCTAATAAAAAACTATGAACAACTTTGTGCCCACAGGTTTGATAACCTAGATGACACAGACCAAAGCCTTGAAAGACATAAACTACCAAACTCATAGAAGGAGAAGTAGATAATTTGAATACACCTATATCTATTAAGGAAATTCAACCAATAATGTAAAAACTTCCCAAAAAAGAAAGCACCAGGCCCAGATGAGCTCACTGGTGAATCTAAAAAAATTTGTGAGGAATGATATCAATTGTCTACAATCTTTTCCAGAAAATGGAAGCAGAGATAATATTTTCTAACAAATTTTATAAAACTAGTATTACTCTAATTCCAAAATCAAAGACATTATAATAAAAAATTGGCAAATATCTTCCATAAACATAAATGAAAAAATTATCAACAGATAGGGGATAGTGATAAAGGTGTATGGGAGCTGTTGTTCCATGTGTACAAAGTTACAGTTATGCAAGGTGAATGAGTTCCTGAGACCTGCTGTACAACACATGCCTATAGTTAATAATAGATATAGTGTAGTTAAAATTTTCAGACAGTGGATCCAGGTTAAGTGTTCTTACTATAAAAAAGAAAGAAAGAAAGGGAGAAAGGAAGGATGGAAGGAAAGTAGGAAGGAAGGAAAGAAGGAAGAGAGAGAAAGAAAGAGAGAAAGGAAAAAAGAGAAAGAAAGGAAGAAAGAAAAGAGAAAAAGGAAGGAGAGAAGGAAGGAAAGAAGGAAAGGAAGGAAAGAAGGAAAGAAGGAAGGAAGGAAAGAAGGAAGGAAAGAAGGGAGGGAGGGAAAAGAAAGAAAAGAAAGAGAAGGAAAGGAAGGAAAGAAGAAAAAACTTTTAGAGGCAATGGACGTAATGCCAAATGATATACATTAGTTACATGTAATTTATTGGTGTACTAATTATACCTCAATAAAGTGCGAAACAAATTAGCAATTGAATACAACATGTAAAAGATGGATACATTATGACCAAGTAAAATTAATTTCATCTATGGAAGGCTGGTTCAGCATTTGAAAATTAATTGGTGTAATGCATTGTATAAACAGACTAAATAAGAAAAAAATTATCATATCAATTTGCATAAAAAATACCTGGCAGTATTCAACACTAATTCATCATAAAAACTCTCAGCCAATTAGAAATAGAGATATTTTTTCAAGTTGATAAAAGGTATCTATGGTAATATCATACTTAGTGGTGAGAAACTGAATGCTTCCCTGTAATTTCAAGAAAAATACAAGGATGTCCTCTCCCACCACTTTTGCTCAGTATAACTGCAACAAAACAAGAAAGGAAAATAAAAATTTTACAGATTGGGAAGGAAGAAATAACATCGTCTCTGTTCATAGATATCATGATTGTGTAGAAAATCCCAAAGAATTGACCAAAACAACCTCCTGAAATCAATAACTGAGTATAGCAAGATTAGAAGATACAAGGTTAATATTAAAAGATCAGTTGCTTTCCTATATATCAGCAATGAACATCTGATATTTAAAGTTAGAACCATAATACTATTTACAATAGTATCCAAGAGGTGAAATAAGATGAACCTCACAAAATATGCACAGAATATGTATGTGAAAAGTTACAAAATGCTAATAAAAGAAATTAAAACCTAATTAACAACAGATATATTCTCTGTTCATGAACTGGAAGACTCATTATTGTTGAGATACCAATTCTTCCCAACTTAATCTATACAATCAACACAGTACCAATGAAATTAACAGCAAATTATTTTGTAGATATCAACAAAATGGTCCTAACGTTTACAAAGAAAGAAAAAGACCTAGATTAGGTATCACAATACTGAGGAATAACAAAGTTGTAAGATTCACACTACCCAATTTCAAGACTTCACTATCAAGCTATAATAATCAATTGGTATTGGCAAAAGAGTGGTTACATTGAACATATAAAACAAAATATAGACTTCAGATATAGAAATCCATAAATATGGTTAATTGATGTTTGAAAAAGGAATAAAGAAAATTCAATGAAGGAAATACAGTCTTTTCAATAAACAATGATAGAACTATTGAAGAAATAACGAACCTAAATACAGACATTGTGCCTTTCACAAAATTAACTCAAAATGGAACATAGGTCTGAATTTAAAATGCAAAACTATAAGACTTCTTAAAGACAATATAGAAGATCTAGATGATGATGGGTTAGGTGATGAGTTTTTAGATAAAGCATTAAATGCATAATTTATGTATTAAAGTATAAAAGATTGATAAATTGAACTTTGTTAAAATTATTAATAAAAACCTTGCAGTATAACAGACATTATTTAGAAAATGAAAAAAAGACACAAACTAAGAGATAATATTTGCAAAATGCATGTCTCGTAAAGAACTATACCCAAAATATACAAAGAACTCAAGAAATTCAACAATAGGAAAACAAATAACCCAAATAAAATGGGCAAAAGTATGGACACTTCAACAAAGCACATATATAGATGGCAAATAAGCATATAAAAAGATGTTCAATGACATTATTTGCCATTTGATAATTGCAAACTGAAACAATGCATCACTACCATGTACTTATTATTTTATAGAATGGCTATATCCCAAAACACTAACAACACCGAATCTTAGCAAGATTGCAGAGCGAAATTATCTCTTGTTCATGATTGTGGGAATGCAAAATGGTGCAGCTACTTTGGAAGACATTTTGTCAGTCCTTATGAAGCTAAATATAATATTACCATGTGATTGAGCAAGTGCACTCCTAGAATTTACCCAATTGTTCACACTGAAACTTGCACATGGTTCTTTTAGCAGCTTTTTTCCTAATCACCAAAAAGTGGAAGTGACCAAGATGTTCTTCAATAGGTGAATGACTGAAAAAACTGTAGAAGGGCCATACAGTGGAATATTATTCAGTAATAAAAAGAAATGAATTATCAAGCCACAAAAGACATAGATGACCCTTCAATGAATGTTGCTAAGGTAGAAAAGCCAATCTTAAAAGTCTACATACAATATGATTCCAATTATATCACATTCTAGAAAGGCAAAACTATGGAGCCAATGAAAATGTCTCTGGTTGCCAGTGATTCAGGAGGAGGAGGAAGGTTTGAATAGAGGAAGCTCAGAAGAATTCATAGGGCAGTGAAATTATTCTGTGATACCGTAATGCAGATAACATGACACTATGCATTTGTTGAAACCCATAGAACTTTATAGCACAAACAGTTAACTTTAAGGTACGCAAATTAAAAAAAATCATTTGAGAGATCAGGGGGTCCCAGGATGGAAAGCACAGTGACAAAAAGAAAATCTAACTATATCACAAATGTATGAAGCAATCCTCGTTGACGTGGGTGGGGAAAAAGGTGATGACCCAAGTAATTTTTGGAAATGGGTGGAGCCTGTAAGACTAATGACAAAAGCAACTGCATATAGGTAATGCAATCCTGTAGATAAAGTTGTTTCCCTTGGGAGTGTGGGTTGACAATCTGGTTACTGCTATACATTGAAGAAATTTAACAACGAAGGGAATGGATGGTGAATGGCTTGAGCCAGATTTCTCACTGTTGGAATGGGTCTTTACTGACATGCAGGAAAGGAAGCTAGAATAATCCATGCAGTAATGGATTAGAGTTGGAGATAACAGTTTGAATTTATGTTTAGCTTAATATAAATACAGATGTTTATAGAAAGGAGTATAGATAGGTGTGTAAACATAGATTAAAAAACATACATGCATTTCCTTGCTGTCAGCTCAGTGGGCCTAGAAGCAACGACATCCCAGTGGCAACAAGCACACTTACAGCCCAGACCTTGATTTCTGATGCTATTCCCTAAGAGTCTTTAGATAAATAGCTGATTTTAAGACTGGGACAGGAAATATACAGGATAAGCTTACAGCATCTTGTAAAGCCAGAAATGAAAGAAATACTAAAAAAAAATTCCCACACAGATAGACATATGTCAAAGGGAAACAAGGATCAAATAAAAGAGTTCTCAATGGCCAAAGCTAGAACAATTTGAGCAACAAAATAAAGTAGTATTGGATCATAACCACAAGTATAAATTAAATATCTGTGAATCCACGATGATATAAATTATTAAATTAAAAAATAAATGGGATAGGGTAGATAAATATCCCATGCAGAAGAATTGCAAATAATTTATGTAAACACTCTGCTCTCAAGGAGATGAAGAATAACTCCCTAGTCCTTCAGCATTATCTGTGCATAGTGACTTCTTTCCAAAGAATACAGTATAGAAAGAGGAAGAAAGAACAACTTTACAAGGAAGGACTCTGACAAATACTACTTTATCCAGATGATCAAGGTTAACATCAATAGTGATGTTTATGTTCATCACATGGACTCAATGTGTTGTGATGAAAATGGGACTTTACTTCTGAGGTCTTCCTCTCCAAAAGCCATAAGCCCAGCCTGGTCATTAGAGAAACATCAAATAAATTACCAAAAGGGACCTTCTACAAAATACCTGATCAGTACTCCTCAAAACAGTCAAAGTCATCAAATCAAGGAACATCTGAAACAGTCTACAGTCAAGATGAATCTAAGAAAATGTGATGACTAAATGCAATGTGGCATCCTGATGGGATCTTGGAACAGCAGAAACACATTAGGTAAAAACTAAAGAAATCTGAATGCAATAGGTACTTTAATTTACAATAACATAATATTACTGGCTCATTAAGTATAATAATTGTACTATACTAGCATAAGATACTAATAATAAGAGAAACTGCATGTGGGGTATGTGGGAGCTGTCTATTACCTTTGCAAGTTTTCTCCAAATAAAAAAAATTCAAAATAAAGTTTTGCTTAAAAAGAAAGAAAAAGAAAGAGAGGCATAGTTACTTCATAGAATGTTGCAAATTCTGATTTTTTTCTAATTATTTCCTTTACGTGTTGTTTAACATATTCCTCTATTTCCTATGTTCTTAAGTGGAAGTTAGTTCTAAAGGCTGGATTAGATTCAGGTTAGATATTTTTGGCGAAAATTAGTCATAGGTGGTGGTGTAAAAAGCACAGTGCAATACGTCGGGGTGCAGGTCAGCAGCTTGTTATCCCTCTATTCCTAATGATAAAATTACTCATTGCATTGGTGGCCATCATTGTTATCATTTGACAGTGTGAGGTAACTGAGTCACAAAGAGCTTAATTTACTTTCTCAAGTTATTAGAGCCCACAGCTAATAAATGATGGAGTTAAAATTTAAACCTAGGTTAGTGTACCTCAAAACCCTTCATCCTAACTGCCTAATACCATACCGCTTCTGAAATCATGTATGAGACAATATTTATCCCAAGAATCCATTAATGACTGAACCTTGACACTTTCTCAATCTGACTATTCAGGACATAATGGTATATTCAGTGCTGTTTGTGTTAAAGAAGAGAGAAAAATGTGACTTGAAACAGTTAGGGAAAGGTTTCTTTGAGAATTTGAACTGCCTCTTTAACCTACATGTAATACCAGTAGGTAGAAAGGAAGATTAGGAATTTATGCATCAATTTGGAATAAATAATGCCATTAAAGAAAGATTTCTTTAATATTCTGCTGAGGAATTTGTTACTTACCTCTGAAGGGCATATTACTCCATCTGTCAGGATATGCCTTCTCTTGGTAGCATTACAACTCAAAGGCAAGTCGATGGGAAATTTAATCCTTTCCCCAGGCATAGTGTTAGAGTAGAGGACAAATGCTAGAATTATGGTGAAGCAGAATACGAATTGATTTGATATTAGAAAATTTGGATAAGTGGCCTGACTCCCAACTCCCACCTGGGACCCTGGCAAGCATCACTTCCATATGAATGAGAATGGGAGTAATAACTGCTCTAAACTGGGTTCCCTGAAACAATCTGTGAGACAGACAGTTGAATGCTGAAGACTTACTGGAAAGAAATTCTTGGAATACATGCCTTCTAGGAAGTAAAAAGTGCATTGCTGAGCAGAAAGAGAAACTACCTACTATGTGGTTGCAACTAAGGGCTCAGCTGATCCAACAGAGAACTGTGGAACTGGGTTGACCCTTCAAACACATGCCACATCAAGGCCAGTGATCTCTATGGACCCAAGTCAAGGCAAGTGGTGACCAAGTCTTTATATCCTCATCTCAGCCAGCCTTTACCTGAGGACACCCCCTGGGAAGGGGCATAACCTTGAGCAAGGAAGATCCCTTGGGCATCTTCAGGGCAATTTTCAGTGATAGACTCGGCCCTGCCCTGTCACCAGCTTATATCCTTTGTTGTGGGGAGTAGGTAATGTGGCCCAAAAAGGAGATCCGGACAAAATTATCAATAGTCTGCGTCCTATGTGAATCGGATCTACTTGCTTCACACAGTAAGTTTACCTCTAAAGGAACACCTTCTTTAGGATTCTCATTGGTCTCATTCTTTTTTTTTTTTTATTGAAGGGTTGTTTTAAAGTGGCATATCTTTTTTATTCTTTATTATTATCATTATTATACTTTAAGTTTTAGGATACATGTGCACAACGTGCAGGTTTGTTACCTATGTATACATGTGCCATGTTGGTGTGCTGCACCCATTAACTCGTTATTTAGCATTAGGTATATCTCCCAATGCTATCCCTCCCCACTCTCCGTACCCCACAACAGTCCCCTGGTGTGTGATGTTCCCCTTCCTGTGTCCATGTGTCCTCATTGTTCAATTCCCACCTATGAGTGAGAACATGTGGTGTTTGGTTTTTTGTCCTTGCGATAGTTTGCTGAGAATGATGGTTTCCAGCTTCATCCATGTCCCTACAAAGGACATGAACTCATCATTTTTTATGGCTGCATAGTATTCCATGGTGTATATGTGCCACATTTTCTTAATACAGTCTATCATTGTTGGACATTTGGGTTGGTTCCAAGTCTTTGCTATTGTGAATAGTGCCACATGCACACGTATGTTTGTTGGTCTCATTCTTAAAGATGCTTACAAGAGAGGAGTCAGTGACCTGCAGTATAGTCACTCCTGCTGCAAGGGATCCTAAAGTTGTGACTGATTCTCACTAGCCCCTTCCTGCTCTGCCCAATCTAGAGTTACCTCCTGCTTGACTGGCACCTTGGCCAGTCTAGGTAGTTGGCTTGATGGGATGATTCAGATCCTTATCCCCGAGGGATCTAAAGCAAGGGTCACTGTAGTAGCTTCTGTGTGTATACAGACCAGATTGCCTTTTTAGAAGTGAAGCACTCATTCACTCAGCTGTCAGAACTGTGTGTTGCTGATGTCTCAAATTTGAGTTCCTTCCTTGGAATTACCCTTTGTCAAAGGGAACTTGTCTTACCCGAAGTATGCCCCCTCTCCAGTGGCACCCTCAAATCCAATGCCTAGTTAATATAAGGGTATAAAGGCCCAGCCCCTTACTGTGATTTCAGACAATTCTGAAGGGGCATCTTAGTTCCAGGGCTATCTGTAGGTGATGCTGATGCAATTAATCACAGTTCAACATCTCCCTCTGTCCCATCATGCTTCCTTCATTTCCACTTCCCAGCAAACCTCCTGAAGGAAAATCTCTGTCTCATAATCCATTTCTTGGATAACCTGACTTAAGATAGTTTGCTTCCAGTTTATCCTGGGAAGCAAGCTTTAAAATGAGATTTTGGAGGAGCTCGACCAGGAGCAGGCTGGCTGGAAAAAAAGAACCTGCCACTAATGGTAGGTTGAGTGCTGGGAGCCCAGTGATGCTGTAGCATTGCGAATATTATAGCTTTCAGTGGTGGTATACCAGAATGGGATACAGGTGGAAGGAAGCACACTGGCAGGTGAATGTCTCAGGCATTTGAGAAACTACTGGGAAAATAGTAATTACAATTATAAGAGCTTTAGAACAAGATGTCTGTGGCTGGGAACTATTGATGCTTCAGGGAAAGACAATGAAAGGATTGTTAATCATCAATTTAACATGAAGGGTGTATGCCGGAGATCTTCTTTATAGCACATAAAGAAATCTTCAAGCTGGAGGACAGAAAAAGCTAAGGATCAGGAAAAAGACTCAATTATAAGGGTAGCAAAATTCCAAAAGGGTTGGCCTCTCAGCCTTGGCAAGCCTTGTATATTAAAGCCAGGGCTGTGATTGGGAAGAAGTAAGACCGTGACACCTGGGTTGGCAGAACTGAGTTCATGCAATTGAAAATCTTGACTCTTCAGACTGCCTCAGATTCTCTGGGGATGCTGGAATGTCTCATGTCTCCCTGCTGACAGACTAGTGCTCCCATTTGTTTGAAGTCTGTGCAGAGATATTTGCCTTGTATGGCAACACGTCTTCAGAATCTGTGCCCCCCAACCTCGTAGCCCTCATTGGTCAAGTAACTAGCATCAAGTCTCAACAGTCTTGACTAGGAAATGCTGGATCTGCAAAGGAAGGAAAAGGCCCTATAAGTTGACAGAACTTAGCATTTAGTTGGCATGAGCCAGGAGCATGCATACAGGACTGGAACCTGAGGATGCAAATCAAAAGGAGCAGAACACAAGGTAGTCTAACTTTAAAGAATATATCAATACGGAAGCATAATATTTAACACCCTGGCAAGGACCACAGGAGATAGTGTATATATGCTGATGGGATGCTACTAGAAGCTTGGGGAAGCTAAGACCCACACTAAGTTAAGTGAAAATGCCAGAACTTTCAAGGCATACAGCAGAAGGAGGGATCAGCAGGCCCAGAGGATGAGCACGCTAGGAGGCCAGAAAACCCACCTCTCAACTGTGTTCTGGAGGGTTCAAGAGGACGCACTGATTACCAAAGCAATAAGAAATGGCCTGGAGAATTGGGCAAAAATATCGCTAAGAGGCTAAGTGGTACTCCCTCTTCTGCAGGCCAGGAGACTCAACTGGCTTCCTGAATAACAATGGGATGATATGATGTGAAATTATAGGCTCCAGGTGGCTGCACTTGGAGTGAAGTCATGTAGGCACAATGATTGCAACAAGTGTGAAGGTCTGAGCAGGAGCTGAGAGGTCTGGCTTGCAGAAAGCTATGGAAACACTAGCACACAATATTTCTGGGGGCAAGATAAATGGGCAGAATAATATTTATTTTATATAACAAATAAATTGAGAATCAATGATTAGGGGGCCGAGAAAAGAAACCTTAATACATGAGCAGCATCCCTGTTTAGTTTCCAGGCATGAGCCAGTTCTCAGAGCCAGAATCTATTTAATGGAGGAAGAGGATTCTGCAATACCCTGGCAAGAACACACAGTAGTGATTCCCTCAGTACTCCCCAGAAGTAATCACCATCATTCACTCAGCAAATGTTTGCTAGGGAAAGACAAATACTTGACCCTTCCAAGGACTGTTGCATACATGGTCCAAGCTGACATTGATACTCTGGGACACAAAGTTATCATCCCAGTAGAATAGGGTATATGGTGTTCAGGAAACACATCAAATCTTGACCTAGACCTGGCTCACAGTGAGTCCATGGGATCCTCATTATGGCTAAGTGCAGTATTCCCAAGTGGGAAAACACTGACATTGTGTTTCTTTCTTAGTGATGGGAGGTGCCAGACACAATGTCTGTTTTACATTACGGAGGATATCCTAGCATACCGAGACCACCAAACCCATAACATGATGTTACTAATATGGCAGGTCTTAGAATCTTCATAGGTTTTATCTTCCATCCTCTGAAGCATATTCTTCCAAGTCCTCCAATACACTTGCCATTTTATTTATATTTATTTATTTATTTATTTTGAGACTGAGTCTTGCTCTGTCACCCAGGCTGGAGTGCATGGCGCGATCTCGGCTCACTGCAAGCTCCGCCTCCCGGGCTCACGCCATTCTCCTGCCTCAGCCTCCGAGTAGCTGGGACTACAGGTGCCCGCCACCACGCCCGGCTAATTTTTTTTTTTTTTGGTATTTTTAGTAGAGACGGGGTTTCACTGTGTTAGCCAGGATGGTTTCGATCTCCTGACCTTGTGATCCACCCGCCTCGGCCTCCCAAAGTGCTGGGATTACAAGCGTGAGCTACTGCGGCTGGCCCATTTTATTTTTTTGCACCCTTGATCAATTAGTGTTATACCATCAATAGAGTGGACCAATGTAATAAGCTGTGAGAAAGCCAGACAGTCTAGGGCCCTGAGGAGAGCAGAATAAATAACAGATGAGACTGTGGAAGTACACTGTGGTCCATCCGTCTAGGTGAGTGGAGTGGCTTCTGAAACACTCCGAACTCTTTTCCTATGCAGAAGAAAAAGAATGCATTTGCCAGATCAGTAGTGTAAATTCTCCTTGGAGGTGGCCACAGGTGACATCTTGGAAGGAGGCAAAATCTTAGGTATGGACATCCTCTGAGGCTGAAGACATTACTCAGTAAGGGGGCTGTGAGCAGCTGGAGCTGATATTTCCTTGCAGATGCTGAAAGGTGTCCTGCCAAAGACACCTGCGTGGAGACAACGGTAGCTATCCCAATAACTAATTCCTATAGTTTTATTGAGAATTAGGTTATGTAAGATATATAAGAACCAGAAAGCAGTCTTAAAATTTTATTTATTTATTTAATTTAATTTTTTTTGAGACAGGGTTTCACTTTTTCACCCAGGCTAGAGTGCAATAGTGCAATTGAACTCAAATAATCTTCCTGTCTCAGCTTCCTGAGTAGCTGGGACTACATGTGCACACTATCATATTCAGTTATTTATTTATTTATTTATTATTATTTTGTAGAGATGGGGTTTCACTATATTTCCCAGGCTGACGTTGAACTCCTGGCCTCAAGCAATCTTCCCACCTCTGCCTCCCAAAGTGCTGGGACTGCAGGTGTGAGCTACTGCGCCCGACCCTAAGATTTTAATATTATTATATTTGGCTACTGGGGTGGAAGGAACTCTAAATTTATTAAGTAATTTTTTGAACGTTCTGGTATTTCTGCGAGTGACTTCTTCCTTACTGAATTGTATCAGGAACTCAGCAGTTTTAGCAAGATCTTCTTTATATTTCTTTTCTAGTCACTGTTCTCTCAATGTGTATAAGTTAATTTGACCGTGTCACTTTAAGAAGGTTCTCACTTGGGTCTTGGAATCAATTTATAGATGTGAATAGCCCATCTATTCATAGAATACTGCTGTTTTGCACTTTGGGGAAAGGCTCTTACCAATAAGAATTCAACAGAAGGGACCTGGCAGACTTTTGCAGCTACAAAGAGCAGAAACTAGAATTAAGGCTTGTCTGCGATAGTGTTCCAGCCAGCACTAAATGCAATAACACACATATTGATTGACCTCTCTTCTTTAGCCTTGCAATTTGTGTAGTGAAGGTTAGAAACAGTTTGATTTCTTTGTCCCTGCCTTCATAATGCAAGCAAGGTCCCTTGGTCCTTGGACAGCATACCGAGTGGGGAGAAGAGCTCATCTTAAAGAAGGCTTATCATAGACTTGGCCTTAGTGAAAGAATGGAATCTCCTTCTGCCCCTCTTTCCCACATGCTTGGGTTCTGAGTGTTGGAGAAGCAGCTCACAGCCCCTCTGGGTCTCAGTTCCACAGTTTTAAAATGAAAGGATTGAAATCAATGATAATTGTGAATGCTGTCAACTTTGAAATTGTTCTCCAGAACCTGAGATCACCTGTCTGTACTTAGATTATCCTAAAATTGACTTTCAGTAGCATCAGTCAATGCATCTCACATGAAACTGTGTTTTAAACAAAACCATATTATTTATATTATTTTTTAGTTGATTAAAGTAATACATTCCTTTCAGAAATAAACTACTCTGGATCCAAACCCTTCACAGTGATAGGTCCCTGGTGTGGTAGCTCATGCCTGTCACCCCAGGAACTTGGGAGGCAGAGGCAGGAGGATCCGGGACAATTATTTGAGGCCAGGAGTTTGATACCAGCCTAAGCAACATAGTTTTTATTGAAAACTTGTTAACATTAGCCAGTGTTGTGGCGTGTGCCCATAGTCCTAGCTACTTGGGAGATGGAGATGGGAGAATCCTGAGCCCATGAGCTCTAGGCTACAGTGAGCTATGATCATGCCACTGCCCTCCAGCCTGGGTGACAAAGTGAGAACATGTCTCAAAAACAGCAACAACAACGACAAAACAACACCCCAAAAAGAAAGAGGTAAAAGTCAAAATTATAGATTGAAACTACGGACTAGGGAGGTACCCCCTTCTCCCAACTTATTTGTGAAAGGAAGCCGAAAATGCTTCTCTTGAGTTACCAGAATCTATGACTCTCATAAGGCTGCATCTCAGGCATTTGAGAAAGTATAGGGAGAGTCATAATAATAATTATAGGAGCTTTAGAATGAGATGAGGGAGGGAAATGAGAAGACATGAACATTAAGACCAGATCTGGGCTGGGCATGGTGGACCACGCCTGTAATCCCAGCACTTTGGGAGGCCGAGGTGGGCGGATCACGAGGTCAAGAGATTGAGACCATCCTGGCCAACATGGTGAAACCCCGTCTCTACTAAAAAAACAAAAATTAGCTGGGCATGGTGGCGTGCGCCTGTAGTCCCAGCTACTCGGGAGGCTGAGGCAGGAGAATTGCTTGAACCCAGGAGGCAGAGGTTGCAGTGAGCCGAGATCACGCCACTGCACTCCAGCCTGGTGACAGAGCAAGCCTTCGTCTCATAAATAAAAAAGACTAGACCTGAGCCAAACCACCAATGGGCTCTGCAACTAGATGTATGCTGTCTTCAGATTATCAGTATAAGACTAGTTTCTGGGCTAGGAGCATAGAAGAGACTGAGTAAAGACATCCCACAACCAGAAAGTAGTTATAAATGAAGAGACATAGGATAAATAACCCCCACCATATATGGCTGCAAAGCAAAAATCCAAAACACAAGTAGAAAACTCATGCTAAGAAAGACTGCAAAAATGTCAACTGGAACATCATTTTTTCCTAGATGATATTAAATTAATAAAACATTCTGAGAAAATTCTGTAACATATTTGTATCATCAGGGAGATACATGTATAACAACTACTAATATAAAAGAAAGATACAGAAATGAAACAAAGACAGGTAGAAAATAAAAGAGAATCAATTAGAAATATTGGAAATAAAAATATAATCACTGGAATAAATATTTATTTGAAAGCATATACACTCTAAACTGAACAGAGCCATAAAACTAGTCAATCGAATGACTGTACTAAGGAAATACATAGAACAGCAGAGAGAGAAAGAGATTTTGAAAACTATGTGAGCGGGTAATTAAGAGGCATGAAGCACAGATTTTGAGAACCAACATACATCTAAAAGAAGTTTAATAATAAAGGGATAGGGGAGCTTTCCAAGAAACCATGTTTGAAGACATAATGGATAAGCATTTTCCAGATTGAAATGAGTTTCAAATTGAAATTCCACTGTGTATAATGAGAAGGATAAATAAAAATAGTATGTAGGCACATTGCAGTGAAACTGCAGACCAAGGAAAGAGGACATCTTAAAAAGCTGCCAAAATACTGAATGAAAGGAAAGAAAATTGTTCTCTCTTTACTGGGGATGGTAAGGGGTCTTGGTCTGTTTTAGTGCATTTAGTAAATTTTCATAAGCAGGTAAACTCTGCCCTATTGTTTAGAGATACAGATAAAAGGATTAAATTCTACTTAAAAAAATCAGAACACACCTATCATAAAGGCCAAGATACTGGTTACTTCTAGAGGGAAGAGAAAACATTGCAATTGGGAAGGGGCACATTGTAAATAGATGCTGGTGATATTCTATATCTTGACACAGACAGTACTTATTTGAGTGTTTACATTACGATTATTATTTAAACAGTATATAAATGCTTGGTGCATTCATATGCTTAAGGCTTAGTGTTGTCTGTATGAGTGATATATCTGTGATATATCTGAAATTTTTTAAATTTGGAAATAAAAAAGTTGCTACCAGAAAAGACAAATTTCTAAGAAGAAAAAAAGTAGACTGGCAGTTGGACTTCTCATCAGTAATAATAAATGGCAGAAGACAATGAAGTATTATCTTTATAGTTTAAAGGGAACATAACTGACAACTTAGAATTCTGTACTCCCATAAACTATCATTTAAAAAATAAGGGGCAAAGTAAAGACATTTTCAGATCGACAAATATTTAAAAACTTAACCACTGATAAACTCTTGCTGCAGGTTATTTTTAAAACACTTCATTATGAAGAAAAGTGAATTCTGAGGGAAAAAGCAAGATGCAAGAAACAGCAGTAGCAAAGACATTCATAAAGACCAGTCCTATCTTTAGTTAGCTGGTGAAAATTACTACTTTTTATTAAAAATCACCAATCAAATCTAAACAACTGGAAAGATACAAATGGGAAACTTATAACTTTAGGTTTTGTTAGGAAAACTATATTTATGTATACTAAAATAATAAATATTTATTGTAGAAATTTGGAAAATAAGGAAGTAGAGGAAGATAGAAATGAAAAAATTCTCATATGACATTAGCATCCAGAGAGACAAACACTATCAATGTTTGATATAATCTCTTTATAAATGTGGAAATCCTTCACATATATACACATGCACACATATGTACAAAGTCCTGTGGCCCTCACCTGGAGACTGACTCAGTGCACAGGACCATTTTCTACATCCCTATAATTTAATCCCCAAGCAATCAACATTCCCCATTCCCTAGTCTTCTGCCCACCAAATTACCCTTAAAAACCCTTCACCTCCACACTCTCAGGGAAGTTGATTTGTGTCATAACTCTGTCTCCCTCTTGGTGTGGCTGGCCTCATGTCAATTAAACTCCTGTACTGCAAAACAAAACAAAATTTAAAAAACCCAGAAAGTTGTACATATAATGTTGTCTTACTGTAAATATGTGGCCAATGTCAGCTGCACCCTACCTTGCCACCAGATCTGTGAAACAGCTGAAATTCCCATTGCAGGGCTGGTTGCCATGTGAAGCCTTCTTCCAGTGTTTTTTAAAGGCTTTCTATGTCTCTCCATTTTCTCTCTCTTTGGTTCTGAGCTCTAACATTTTTTTGTTGTTGTTTTGAGACGGAGTCTCACTCTGTCACCCAGGCTGGAGTGCAGTGGCACGATCTCGGGACACTGCAACCTCTGCCTCCCAGATTCAAGTGATTCTCCTGCCTCAGCCTCTTGAGTAGCTGGGATTACTGGCAACCGCCATCATACCCGGCTAATTTTTGTATTTTTAGTAGAGACAGGGTTTCACCATGTTGGCCAGGCTGGTCTCGAACTCCTGGCCTCAAGTGATCCAACTGCCTTGGCCTCCCAAAGTGCTGGGATTACAGGTGTGAGGCACCGTGCCTGGCCCTGACTGCTAACATTTTTGCCTCTAATCTTTGTGAGACTTGGAGACTTTCTGAATGCCAAGCCCAGTTAATTACCTGATATTTATAGGTTGGTACAAAGGTAATTACAGTTTTTGCCATTAAAAGTAATTCCAAAACCCGCAATTATTTTGCATCAACCTAAATACAAGGCACTTCCTTTAAGTTTTGTGATCTTTCATTATAGATAAAAGTAAAATGTGGGTGGTCACAAGAAGATGCCACAGTGCAGGATTCAAGACCTTTTGTCACCTCCTGGCTCACTGCATGCTTGCTCTTTCTCTCTCTCTCTCTGTGTCTCTCTCTGTCTCTTTTACATTTTCCTTCCCCTACCTGTGTTACAGCCTTATCCCTCCCTATGTGTCATGCAACACAATTACATCACCACTTAGCTTCCTCAGGATTGGTCTTTATAATGCCAAGAATGTCAAAATGTATTTTTCAGCAAATTCATTGACTTTTCTAACATGCAGTATTTTCTTTCTTCCTTATATTTTTCCATATCCTCACCAGGACTAATTTTTTTTTTTTTTTTTTTTACTTAAGATGGTAGAGAGAGAATTATTTATGTTATTGACTACATTATATTGAATAAGTGTGCCACTTTTTATTTTATCCCTCAACAGTAAACACAAACCTTTCTAAAATTCCTTAGGATATGATGCCTGTGTCATTAACTTTCCTTTTTTAAATAAGGACTTGTGAACATCGAATTTAGCTGTGAGTAAATGCATACCTCCATTTCTTAAAAGCATTGGCCCCATGGTAAAAATGAGCAGCTCTCTAAAAGTTCAGTAATACACCTGATCAAGTTATGAATACAGGGAGCAAAAAGATAATTGAAAAAATCTCCTATGTCTACTTGAAATGCTAGAATTCACTTCATACAGGAGGACTAGGAGTTTCTGTATCATCTTGTCTTAAAACTCCTCAGTTCATTCTTGTCACTGCACACCTTCAAACTCGCCTACACCTATGTGCTGTACTAACCTTATAAGAAATATGAGTCCCGTCTCTGAACAGTTTAATATAAAGGATAAATCTGAAGGAGATTCATCCAGAACTTCACAGCTAGTACGTCTACTCCTGGGGGAAAAAAAGGCAGAAGATAGTTTTTATGATATTTTAAGATAGCTTTTATGGGCCTTGTGGCCAAAATTTTATTTTATGTTTCATTCAAAAGGGATGATAAACAATCTTGTCAACAAGTTAGTACAAACCAGTTCAGGAACTTTATGTAAACTCCAATCATATAATGTTGACCACACTGGAAAAAAAAATGCTTCATTCCAGGAAGCATTTGGCTTATTATTAATAAACAGATAGGCTTTCCAATATCGGGTATATGTATTTGAGTTGACTAACTGCTCTCTGCTTTTGTTCACTCCAAAACTTTTTCCCCCACAATCAGATTACTGTGAAGCTGTAATAAAATTCAAATATGGTTCTTTATTCACATTTCAATATTATTTTGTTACTATTCAAGCCAGTGAATAGAAAACAAATTTACATTGTGATAAGAGCCCAGGCAGATGCCATCCATAATGTTAACTACTTGTCAAATGTGGAGATGTATTTTCTTTCCCTTGGGAAGAGGATTTCTCATTTCTCCTTACTGTAGAGCAGTAACATTTATTGTCTCTCAGTGAAAGCTACAAGGCATTCATTGGGTGATGTGTTTTCTCAGAACAGAGTTTTACAGTTCATAGTTTCTCTCACTGGCCTCCTCTCTGCCTCTAGACTGTGTGACAGAGATTCTGACAGACGGTGTACATAGGGAAGAAAGGTTAAATCATGCAGTGACTATCTTCTTTTTGCTATCACAGCCCACAGGGACCCCATTTCAAAGCTGTGGGTCTCCCTAAAAGAATTGCCTGGGGATTAGAGGGTAACATCTAAAAGTGCCAGAGGCCAAGAGGCAAAACAAAAAACAAAAAACAAAAAACAAAAAAGGCCCGGCGTGGTGGGTCACGCCTGTAATCTCAGCACTTTGGGAGGCTGAGGTGGGCAGATCACTTGAGGTCAGGAGTTCGAGACCAGCCTGGCCCACATGGGAAACCCCATCTCTACTAAAAATACAAGAATTAGCTGGGCGTGGTGGCAGGCACCTGTAATCCCAGCTACTTGGGAGGCTGAAGCAGGAGAATTGCTTGGACCTGGGAGGTGGAGGTTGCAGTGAGCTGAGATGGAGCCATTGCACTCTAGCCTGGGCAACGGAGGAAGGCTCTGTCTCGAAAAAAAAAAAAAAAAACCAAGATGAAAAAAAGTGGCAGGTGGAGTTTTAGCAGTCAACCCTCATAGAATTCACATACCTGAATGAATTCTGGTCACTGAAATTAAGTTTAAGCCAAGGTAACAGTTTTTAGCATTTCCAGGAAATGCTCTTGTTGGCAACTTGGGAATTCTTATTACCTACTCTCCATATTAATTCCCCTTAGTGACTACCAATGGGATACAATAAAACTTTTGTTTGAACAACTTGAAGAAGTTATTGAAAGATTGTAAAGGAGCTATTGGGGACTAATGTCAGTATTCTGTACTTTTTTTAAAAAATAAGAATCCTGACAAACTCCTTGAATTTCTTCTTAAGGTTTTCTACCAGGTGAACTACGTGGTCATGGAAGCACTGTTGATGGTGTGGCACTACTGCCTGTTCTTCAAAGGTGAGCTATTATGCAATTTACAAAAGCAGGAAGATGGTTGTCTTAGAAATTAGGACACCTTAGAGTTGGTTCTGGTTCAACCGTTCACTAGCAAAATGGCCTTGCATGAGCCAGGCAGCTTTTCTGGAACCGTTTTCTTACCCGCAAGACATAAGGGTCTGAGGTGCCTTACTCGCTCTAGCTCTAATTCTTAGATGACATGACTTGAGTGCACGGGGTATGTGTAGAGGTAGCATAGAGTAGGGGAGCATGGAAGATAAAAACAGATTTTGGAGCTGGGAAGTTCATCTTCAAATCTTGGCTCAGCTACATATTTATTAGTTGAATGGACACAATCATGTAATCTCTTTATGCATGTGTTTCTTCATTTTTAAAGAGAGGGTAAAAGGGCACATCCCCCTAAGATTGCTGTAAGTAAGTATTAAACATAAAAACATAAGGAAAGATAGAACAAGCATGACACACTTACTAGCAGATTTTGCAAACTAAAAATGGCAATTTAATTTCCTTTGATATTTAATTATTTTCAAGTAAATGTTTGAAAACCATTTATTTGTGGATGACAAAGAAATAAAACAGTGTTACACCTTCAGTTGAAAGAATTCTAGAATGTAATTAGAAATTCTGGATTTTAATCCTGCTGTGTGGATGACAATAAAAATAGAATTTATCAAAATTTATGCAGTGAAACTAAAGTTGTTTCAGAGTGCAGTTTATGGTATATATATATATACACACACACACACATACACATATGTATACATTTTTTAAAAAAGAAAGACTAGAAATTAATTACTTAAAAATCAAAATCAAGATATTAGGAAAATGACAGTGTAGTAAAGCCAAAGAAAATTAAAGGTCAGTAAATCATGTACACAAATACAAAATTTTTAGTAAAATATTAGCCAATTATATGTAATTATATGTAGTAATGCTTTTATAAAACAACCTAATTTGATTATTTTATGATTGTATCTTTGGCTTAACATTTAAAAATTAATCAATGGAATTCACTGTATAAAAAAACAGAAAGAAAAATAATATACTCATTTTTCAAAAAGTCAAAAAAGTATTTGATAAAACCTATTGGTCATACATAATAAAAACCCATTGCAAATTAGTGATAGAAACAAATATTCTTAAGATCAGTATTTAGCTAAAAATAACCTAAACATTTTTTAATAGTGTCTTACTACCAACTAAAAAGAGGACTGAGGTAAGGATTTCTTTATTTCCACTTCTAATCAATGTGTAATAAAACCTTAGACAATGCACAAAGGTCAGAAAATGAAATGAAAGTTGTGAGGATTTAAAAGGATTAATTAAGTTGTCATTAGTCCTACAGGCCTTAGTGTGTGAAGAGAAAATACAAAGAAATCTACAGAAAATGCAAAAGAATAGTAACCTAATTTAATGAGGTCACTGGATTTAAGGTCAACATACAAAAATCAGTTATGTTTTAATATATCATCTAAAATAAATTTTATTTGAAATTTATTAAAAATACAATTTATAGAGGCATAAATAACATCAATTATTTAGGAATAGATCTAATAAAATATGAATATGGTTTTTATACTAAAACCTACTTCCTGAGATAAATTTGAGAAGACACACATAAATAAAGGAAATTACTATGTCCGCGAATTCAAAAACTCAAATTTTTAAGAAATCAGTTCCACCCCAAGCTGATCATTTAAATTCAAACTATCTTAATCAAAATTCTAGCAGAATTTTTGTTTGTTTGTTTTGTTTTTGGAAACTGATAATTTGATTGTAAAACTCATATAGAAAATATAAGGCCCAAGAAAATCTATGACAAACTTAAAAAAAGAGAGCGAAAAAGTATTTCCTCAGCAGATATCAAGACTTAGCATAAAGCTACAGTGATTAAAACACTGTGGCATTAGTGCAAGGAGAGATGATCAGGCCAAAGGAACAAATTAAAGGGTCCGAATGAGACCCATACAGATATGGTTATGTGATTTATGAAAAATTGCCACTGCAAGGAAGTGGTGGAAAAGTAGCCTTTTTTCCTTCAGTAAATGGTATGAGGTAAATTGGACATTCATATGGAAAAGAATGCATCTTAACCCTTACCACACATATACACAAAATTCAATTTTAAATGGATTGTAAATCTGAATGTGAAAGATAGAATGGTTAATGTTTTTGAGCATACATAGAAGGATAACATTGCGATCGCAGAGCAGGTAAAGATTTCTTAAGTATGACAGAAAAGGTTCTAACCATAAAATAAATGATTTATAAAAATAAAACCTGTTAAAAAGAAACCTATTATCAAATATATCAAATATTTATCAAATATATATTTGAAAATAAAAAGGCAAGCCATAAAATGAGGAAGATATTTGTAATACATCATTTCATCAAAGGGTTCATATCTAGACTATGTAAAGGTCCTGGAAAAATCAATAAGAAAAAAGTCCAGTGAGAAAGAGCAACAGTCTTGAAGAGGCAGTTCACAAAATGGTAATCCATATGGCTAGTAAACTAAAGGGGCTCAACTTCGTAACTCATCATGGGTATGCAATTTAATCTACAATGTAGTATGCCGCAGCACACCCACCATATTGCTAAAATAAAAAAATTTGAAAATTGTAAGTGTTGTCAAGAGTATAGAGCAACTGGTACTCTCATACACTACTGGAGAGAGTGTAAATTGGAACAGTTCTTTCAGGAATCTGGCAATGTCTGTTAAAGCTAAATATATGCCTACCCTAAGACCCAACATCTCCATTCCTAGGTATTTACCCAATGGATGGGCACACATGTACATGAATATTTATAGTAGCATCATTTACAGTATTCCTAAACTGGAAAAAATTTAAATGTCTGTCAGAAGTACAACAGATAAATGGTGGTAAGGTGGTATATTTATGCAGTAAAATATTATACAAAAAGATTGAACAAACTATATTGCATATACAACAAATAGGAATCTAAGGACCATAGTTAGCAAAAGAAGTCAGTCACAGAAAGAACTATCATTAAATTTATAGGAAGTTCAAAAGCAAGAAAAACTATTTTCTAATATTAGTTGTTCAAATAGTGGTTAATTTGTGGAAAAATATGTACTGGGATGGGGCGTGAGGAAGACTTCTGGAGTGCAGGTGATTTTCTATGTTTTGAGCTGGGTAGTAGTTACACAGATGTATTCAATTTGTGAAAATTCATTTAGCTAGATATTTAGGATACGTGGACATTTCTGTGTATTTTTATATTTCAATAATAGGTTTCCTTATAAAAATATTGGTTCTGCAAATTACTTGCTTTCTCTTCTTTGGAAGATTACTTATACTCTGTTTCTTATTTTCCCCATCTCAGAAGTAGAGGTGAATAAATAGCGGTTTCACTGTGTATAAAATGGGATGTTTTGTTATTGTTGTCTCTCTATTTCTCTTTTACATACACTGGTTTCTTGGTCTGACATGTTCTAGGTACTGGAAATAAAATGGTGAGCAAGATACTTTCCCTGGCTTCAGTGAGGTTGCATTTTGTTTATTTTTAAATAGAAAGACAAGGATCATGTTCAATGCATCCTGAATTCAACCTTCCCTTTCAATTTTCATATAGGAAATTGCTAAAAGGGGGCAAAAATCAGCAAAATTAATAATTGATGGTGAAGATAATGATACCATGAATTTTACCTTTCCCCGCCTCTTTCTCCTACTAGTGGTCAGTAAAGTGGAGAGCCTATTTGAGTATTGGAGACAAAATTGGGAGCAAAAGATCTTGTCATTAAATAACGAAGATGAAAGTTATCAGGGTAGTATATTTAAAAAGCTTAGATATATTGATAACACAGATGTTCTTCAAGCCTTATCTTTGGGAGAGCTCCCTTATTTTTTTGATCACCAATCAGCCCAGACCTAATCTGCAAATGCAGTAACTTATACATTCTCACATAAAACATAGCTTACGTTCATTCTGCTGGTGGCTGCTGGCCAGTAGCTAGCGCTCTTAGTAAACTTGTTTATTTCTTGCCCACAGTTCTAACCTAAAGAGAAACTCGAACTATTTACATTTTCAAGGCTGCTTCCTGTAGAGTCTTTTGTGTCTCAACAGGAATTTGTGCACCATGAAGTCAAAAAACCTAGCAATGATATTAGAATACCATCATGCATGAGTGCATGAGTAAAAAAGTGATGAGAATATAATCTTCTTTAATATCTGGAAAAAAAATTGGCACAACTGTCCAAACACCTGGATTGTAAGGAATCTTTGAGCTAGGCTAGCTTCACTTCTGGCTCCCCACGAACTAATGAAACATTTAGAAACTGTCGAGTCCTATTTAGCATTCTTGAGCTCAGTAACACTAAAACTCTGTGTCATGTTAAGGATTATCAAAAGCCTTCCTCAGGAGAAAGAATTGGCTTCACACAGACAAGATCCTATTTTCCTAATATACCTCTCACAGTGCAAAAGGTAGACATGAGAGAATGTTCTTTGGTCAGAGTTAGTCTTAAGGCTTTGTCATAGATATTGTCAACTTTGTCATGGTTGATCGGTGACATAGGAAGGCAATTACCTTAGAGAGTAGAAAGTAGATCTTTACAGATTATATTTAATGCCAGCAAACAGCACAACATCCCTTTCAATAACAGTGAGAGTAATAGTCACAAGGTCTTAGCATGTATAGAGTGCTTAAAATGTGCCAGACGCTGATCTAAGTTTTCATGTCTGAAATAATTTTTCTTTACACTATGCGTATACGATATAATGTTTTTGAAAGCTTGGCTGGGTGCCGTGGCTTACTCTGGGAGGCTGAGGTGGGAAAATCACTTAAAGTCAGGTGTCCCAGACCAGCCAAGGCAACATAGAGAGACCCCTATTTCTCCAAAAAAAAAAACATAAAATAAAAATATTAGGTATGATAGTGCATGCCTGTGGTTCTAGCTACTTGGGGGGCTGAGGCAGGAGGATCACTTGGGTTAAGGAGTTTGAGGCTGCAGTGAGTTGTGATTGCACCACTGCACTCTAGCCTGGGTGAGAGAGGGAGAGAGAGACCCCATCTCTAAATAAATTTAATAAAAAAAACTTTTTGTGATATAATTGACAGATAGTAAATTTTTTCTTACTTCAAGGGTACAATTTAATAAGCTTAACATATATAGATACCCATGCAACCATCACTACAATCAAGATGATAAACATTAATCACCTGCAAAAGTTTCGTCTTGCCCTTTTGTAGTTCCTCCACCTTATGTGTCTTCACCTCCCATCCCTGTCTAATCACTGAGCTGCTTTCTATTACTACAGATCAGTTTACATTGTTTAGAATTTTATAAAATTGAAAGAATATAATTTTTTGGGTGGTCTGGGGGCACAATTATTTTGGGATTCCTTTATTATGTATATCTATAGTTACACATATTATGTGACTCTACAGTTCATTTGCTGAGCAGTACTCCACTGAATGGATTGTCCACACTTTGTTTATGCATGCATCCATGGATGACATTTGGGTTGTTTCCAGCATGGACTTATTACAAATCAGGCTGCTATGATCATTTATGTATGACTTTTTGTATATATATGTTTTTATTTTTCTTAAGTACCTAGTAGTCAAATATTTGGGTTATATAGTTTGTATACTAGTTTTCAAAAACTTCCAAACTATTTTACAAAGTGATTGTAGTTTTGGATATACAATTTTACTTTGCATGCAGTGTATGAGAGTTCCAGTTACTTTATACTTTACATCATTCAATACTCGTTATTGCCTGTCTTGTTCATTTTAGCCATTCTAATATGTGTGTTGCAGTATCTCACTGTGATTTCAACTTGCATTTTCCTAATGGCTAATTGGCTAATAATGTTGGGTATCTTTTCATGTGCTTATTTGCCGTCTGTTTTCTTTCTTTCTTTCTTTCTTTCTTTCTTTCTTTCTTTCTTTCTTTCTTTCTTTCTTTCTTTCTTTCTTTCGGGGTCTCACTCTGTCATCCAGGCTGCAGTACAGTGGCACAATTGTAGCTCAACATAACATTAAACTTTTGGACTCAAGTGATCCTCCCTCCTCAGCCTCCCAAGTAGTGAGTACTACAGGTGCACATCAACATGTTTGGCTAATTGTTTTTTATTTTTGATAGAGACAAGGTCTCACTATGTTGCCCGGGCTGGTCTCAAACTCCTGCCCTCAAGCAGTCCTCCTGTCTGGGCCTCCCAAAGTGGGTGTGAACCACTGCACCCAGCCTGTTTATCTTCTTTGGTTAGTTTCCAGTTTATAAATTTGCCAACTTTTGGAGGGTTGTTTATTGTATACTTAAACATAATGTGCATAGAGGGTTCTGGAAAATAAGCAAATGAACCCTAGTCATAAACAGTAACTTTTGCCAGAGATAGCTAACACTAGGCTCCTTTCTCCTTACTCTTTCTTTTTCAAATATGGGTAACATTTGATAGATTTCATACTATTGATGACAACATTTCTGAGTTGCTAGTTCCTTGAGATGTGGCCTGGGACCAGTGCTATGGAAAAATATCAAGTAGAGAGAAAAGCTTTTGTTGTACAGGACTAAGTTCAATTGGTGGCTCTGTTGCCTGCCAATTGTGCCATTAAGACACTATGCCTCGGAGTCTTTATTTCCTCATGGGGACAACTGGAGATGGAGGTGCTGCTCTGATATTCCTCTTACAGAGCTGTAGGGGAATCAAAGTTGCTAAAGGAAGGAAAGCGCCCAGGACTGTGCTGGACTTCTCTGTGTTGTTTTACATTTCTTTACTTTCTTAATTTTTTTTCATAATATAATTTGAGTGGGAGATAAGTCAGAGATGTGTGTGAGGCTTGAGAAAACAAATATGTGATATTCTTAGGGGACTATTTTAAACATTCTTTAAGTACGTGTCTTTATAATTATACTTATATGATAATAAGAGCTCTGATACCTATAGGATATCAATGGGCAAAATGCACCTGCCACTGTCTATGAGCCAGACTTTGCATAAATGCGCAGAATAGATAAGATGGAGCATCTTCCTTCAAGCTCTTGAAGCCTAACTCGGGACCCAAAATATATACTCATAAATCTCTCTTATCATTTAAAGTTATATGAAATGTTCACTAGGAAACAGGAGTTCCTTAGTCTAATGCTGAATGATGTTGATATTTTTATTAAGGAAGGAGACATTGCTACAGTTGAGTAGGGAATGCACTGGAAAATTGGAGTTTGACAATACTCAACAGTGCTAAGCTTTTCCAATGCACTTACACAATGGGTGCATTTTGCCCATTGATATCCTGTAGGTATCAGAGCTCTTATTATCACGGAAGCATAATTATAAAGACATGTACTTAAAGAATGTTTAAAAGAGTCCCCTAAGAATATCATGTTTTTTTTTCTCAAGCCTCACACACATCTCTGACTTGTCTGCCACTCAAATTATATGATGAAAAAAAATTAAGAAAGCAAAGAAATGTAAAACAACACAGAGACTTGTGGTAGACTTCATGATTTGTTCATACTTATTCATTCATCCCTAAAGCCTGATTTCCCTGTGGTTAGAATACTCTTCTGCATGGTGTTTTCAGACACCAAATATATTATTCCAATACCAGCTATTCTTCCAACACTAATCTGTTGTTCATCATTTCAATTCAATTCTGACATTACCCATAATTAACACAGACCTCACAGGTTAAGGGCTCAGTCCCTCAAAACTGTGCCCACTTTGAACACCAGCTGGGACAAGATAGGGTGTCTAGGCTACCCACACTTCCAATTCTGGGATTAAAATGAATTGTTTCCCCTCAGGTGCAGTTGCTAGAATGACACAGAACTCAGGAAGGTGCATCACTTATGATTACTGGTTTATGATAAAGGATATAATTTAGGAACAGCCAAATAAACGAGATGCATGGAGGAAAGTAAGGGTGGGGAGACAGAGTTTCCATAGCCAATCTGGGTATGAACACCACCCACCTAGCACACGGATGTGTTCATCAACCCAGAAACTGCTGGAACCTCATTGTTTAGGGTTTTCATGGAGGTTTCATCACATAGGCATGATTGATTAAACCATTCGGCCTTGGTGATTGAATGTAATTACCAGTCTCTCTTCCATCCCAGGGTGGTAAGGCTAAAAGTTCTAACTCCTTAATAGATGGTTTGTGTCCTGGGGAACAGCCTGCCCATCTTGAAGTTATCTAGACCTGCCTCCCACACCTCCCCCTCCCCGCCAATCAGTTTTCTCATTAGCATACAAAAGAGAGTAAATTCCAAGGGTTTTAAGAGCTATATGCCAGGAACCTGGTACAAAGACCAAATATTTATTTATTTTTTATCATACCAACCGTTTATGCCCCATTGACTTTTGGCTTTGTCCTATGGCATGCTTGGAACAAGGAAATGTGGATGGCAGGGATGTTGTACCAGTTTTAAGGAAAGAATTTAAGAGGAATCCATGTTTCCACTTACCCTCCTGAGCTTCAGTCTTTTGTCACCAGAACAGCTTGCCCCAGATAGTGAAGGTGTTACCAAACTAAGCTGGGTTCTGCGTGCCTGTTGTAGTAAGGACAAACATCCACACTGAGGTTTGCTGTGGGAGAGGTTTGCAGAGGTTTGCAGAGCACCAAGTAAGAATTGAGCAGCTCATGCTCTGGACCTGACTTCTCTAATGGCTACATAAGGATTTTTAAAGGCAGGAAAGCAGAAATTACAGGCAAAGTCATAAATCAATGCATGGATGCTACACATTAGTTTGATCTAAAAAGGCAGGGCATCTCAAAGCACTGGCCCACAGGTCATAGATGGATTCAAAGATTTTCTACTTTGCTATTGGTTAAGGAGGCAACGGTTTGTCTAAAAATTTGGGATCAGCATAAAACAATGTTAGTTTTGGCTCATGGACATGACTTCTTCCAGGCCTGTCAGGAGGAAATTTAGAACAAAGAACAGTGATCAGAGTTGAGTCCTCAGTTCCCCTTTATCTGTGTGCCAGGGGATCTGTTTGGTGGTGGTCTGGGTTTCTAAGAAACAACTCAAGGACATGTATTAAGATGTTGGCTGGATGTAGTGACTCATGCCTGTAATCCCAGTGCTTTGGGAGGCTGAGACAGGAGGATTGCTTGAGATCAGGAGTTAGAGCCCAACCTGGGTAACAAAGTGAAATCCCATCTCTACTAAAAACTAAAAAATTTAGCTGGGTGTAGTGGCACCTGCCTGTACTCCTAGCTACTCAAGAGGCTCAGGCAGGAGGATTGCTTGAGCCCAGGAGTTTGAGGCTGCAGTGAGCCACGATCATACCGCTGCACTTTAGCTTGGGTAACAGAGAGAGATAGTCTTTAAAAAAAAGAAAAAATGTTATCTTTAGTTTTTACAGGAAACAAAACATCTTGTAACTCTAACATATGTCCCTGAGTTGTTTTAAGCTAGTATTCCTTGGCTATTGTTTTAAGCTACTATTACCTTCTTGCACATCAAGTTACTCATTTACTACTCAGGGCTAGCTATGCTCCCTGAAGGAACTGAAGATTTTCCTTTATTTCCATGCTATGTATTTTGGGGGTACCTGGTAGGCCCTTGGAGGGGTGTTTGCTCCATCTCAAATGCTTCTTGAGTCTGGTTTCCAGAATGAGGGTTAGTGAAATAGACTTGAACCCAAGCTGAAGCCAAGCCCAGGAGAGCCACAGCCAACCCAAGAACCTAGGACTGAGAAATAAATGTGTGTGGTATAAACAACTGAAATTTTGGGTTTCCTTGCTTCCACAGCAAAAGGTGACACATGTGTACATCAACATATGTTACTTCATACTTATCCTTTGCTTAGTACTGGATTTTAAACACAGTTGTTTAACATGTTGGCAATAAACTGTTTCTCACAAAGTTCAGAAGATTCTTCTTTGCATCTTAGGCTTTAAGCTGAACTTAAAAAGGCTTCAGCATAATTGGCTCCTGTGGATCCAGGCCCTCTTGAGTCCACAAAAGCCTGGAAATTAAAAGAATAAATAAGTAGTATACCTATGGGGCGAAATCCATGCGGACTTTGCAAAATCCAATACATCTGAAAAATATGTTCCTTGAGCTGCTCAGTCCAAATGCCACTGGCTTCCTCTATCCCTAGATGATAATACATTATGTTCAGAAGTTATCAAAAATGGAGCCAGCCTGCAATTCAAGCCAGCACACACTGAGGCAAGGTTCCCAGAGGGAAATGCCTCACAGAACTTAGTCATCTCTTGACTAAGAATGACCAGTTAGGGATGGCAGCTCTAAAAGAGAAAAGGCGAGAGAGAAGTAAAGTGTGTGCCGAAGAAATGTATACAGGAAAAAGACAAGAAGACAAGGAAAAAAAAAAAGTTCTGAAAAAAGCATCAGCTGGAGTTTGCCCTGTAGAAATTTGACTTTTTGTGTCTGTGTGTGTATGTGCAGTAAAATACCTCAAAGCCCAGAGAATCAAAGCAAAGGTGGTGTTAGCCGACAGTAAGCGATGAACACAGGACTCTTCTGCTGCCGCGTGTTGGGGGCAGATGCTGGCTTGGACTAAAGATAGGGGAAGAATAGACGAGCGCTGCTTCTGAAATCTTTCCTTGGCATTGTCTGTTTGGGCTTTTGTTGTTTTGTTTTCCCTTTGTTCCTGGTGTTCTTCTGGCTACCAGGCTGATGCAAACCAGGGCTTGAAAGCAAAATTTACTCTGTCAATGCTATAGGAAAATGAGCACAGGAAATTCCATCCTTTTGATCTGTCATCTTTCTCCCATTGATCTTGTTGCTCCCCCAAAGCCTAAACATTATGATGGTTAATGAGCAACCCATAATATGAGGAATATGAAAAAATATCCCTCCTGAATCATCCTTAATTATGGCTTTTATTAACTCATTTGTGGATACCTGGGTCCAAGCCTGAGACGTGTAAGAGAAGCTGCTTAATTTCAAAGGGAAATGCAAAGCTATTGACAAACTCAGGAGATTTTAGTCTATAAATAGCTCAATTTCAATATACCCGGCTTAATAGTCTTCTCTTTGAAACCTATTATGTCCTTTAATGGAATGCAACATTTGGTCTTTTTTATTTTTAGTAATCTCTCCAGGTGCTTGGCAAATTTAATTTTCAATCCATTTCAACTTGAGCTATCAACATTATTTTTTTTTCTGTTTTGGAGCTAGTTTCACTGTAATATTGCTGGAGCTTAGTAGGTTTAGATGGATGGATTTCCATGTGTTATATTTACTACAAAATAAATGGCTATGATTTAGACAGAGAGGCATCCTCTTTTTACTATTGTTTGCCTTTCTGGGCCAGTTTTGAAAAAGACACCTTGGGACAAAGACCTTAGGAAAGTGGACTGTACTTATCAATAGCATTGCACCTATGCATCAGGGAAAAGTCTTTAATTATTGGAAATAAATTAAAGAAGCTTTATTCCTAAAGTTGGAGATGTTCTACATAAATTGTTCATCCTAGTAACACTGGACTCCTGCTTGTACTTTAGTTTCAAGCCCCTTTCTCTAGAAAACAGTGGAATTCAGTAGAAACAAGGTCCAGGGGAGTTTAGACCATGTTTAAAATACACTACTCTTAAAGCATTATCTCTTGGCCGGGTGGCTCACACCTGTAATCCCAGCACTTCGGGAGGCTAAGGTGGGTGGATCACCTGAGATCGTGAGTTTGAGACCAGCCTGGCCAACATAGTGAAACCCTGTCTCTACTAAAAATACAAAAATTAGCTGGGCGTGGTGGCACGTGTCTGTAATCCCAGCTACTTGGGAGGCTGGGTCAAGAGAATTGCTTGAACCTGGGAGGCAGAGGTTTCAGTGAGCCGAGATTGCACCACTGGCACTCCAGCCTAGGTGACAGAGCAAGACTCCGTCTCAAAAAAACCAAACAACAACAACAACAACAAAAACACACAAAAAAACAAAAACAACAATAACAACAACAAAATTACCTCTCAATGGGCAACCTTGGAGAGCCTGCATCCTGTAAAACATCTTCCCCTCTTTTTCTCCCAGCACATGCACTGCTTATAGAGGATAATTCCCCTGATTTTCCTAAATTGAACCAGAGCATAGGAGTAAACAGTGGGTAAGTATTGGCCAGTCTGTTGAGGAGTAAAATATATGAGATTTTCACATCATATCATCTGAGATTCCCCAAACTTGAGAGGGGGATGACTGTGGAGAAGCAGCACTTGTCGTGCTACCATGCAGGCAAAGAAAAAGAAAAGAAAACGAAAGCCTTCCCTGGGCCCTACCAAACTCTGCTTCCAGTGTCTTCCTCCTGTGGCAAGCACAGATCATTAACATTGGTAATGTCCTCACTAAATCTGCTTGGAGAAACTGACAAGTCTAATCTGTTACTGAGAGAGGGAAGGCTGGGAGTATGTTTAAAATGCATTGCTCTTGCTTCAGGACCCTTTGAGTTGCTGTGTGGTTCCTGTCAGGTAGGCTTGGTGTTTGGGTAAAGACTATCTGTGATTCCATCAGTCTCCTTGGGTGCCTCCCAGAGGAAATGCCTGCAGCTTCAGCTCCCCACTCTTGGCTCAGCCCCTGTCATAGCCCCTGCCAGTAAGCCTGGAGGTGCTGTGATTTGAAATTCAGAACCTGGGGAGGGACTCCTTAAGCAAGTAATTACCATTAATAGTCAATAGCTTTCAGCCTAACAAATAATTGTGACAGATCTGAATAAGGTTAAACTTATTATTTGAGACATACAAATGCAGCAATGACACTGGTTTTCATATTTAAGGCACCATTTTGATAAGTTTTTGAGTGATTTTTAAATCAGACTAGGTAGAGTTTAAAAATATGATGCAAATGGGGTCTGTAAGGAATGGGATAATTTTGGCTCATGAAGGAAATGCTTAAATCATCACCTATGATTTGAATTTATTATAAAATAAATTTTATCCAGAAGAAGGTGATGGGTGATCTCAATGCCAGCTAAATTCAGAGCAATGAAAATGGACTTAAACACCGTGTGAAATATCTGGGCTATACCTAGGACAATATTGAGTCCTAGATATAGTGCCAATATTGAGCTTTTGCAAGAAGCCACAAAGGGAAATGGATCAAGTGCAGAGCCGCCATTTGACCCTACATGGTGTGTCTCAATTCTCCCTGGAGGTAGGAGTATGGAGTCTTTGAAAGCCAGTCATGGGATTCTGGAAACTTTAGAACTGGAAGTTAGTTTTCAAAAACGTCAAAGCAACAAGTACCTGCTAAGAAATATGTGGGTCACAACTTAAAGCCAAAATTTTCTCCTTTGATGTTACATTTCTTTTCTTTTTAGTGTAAGGCCAGTGATTTCCTGTTTTAGCTGTAGAAGCTTAGCCTTTCTTACTATCTCATAAATCCCCTCTTCAGTCTGATTAGAATAATTATATAAACAGATAGTCAAAATTGATCAAAAATCAATAGAACAATCAATAAAAGCATAAGCACCATAAGAATGAAACATAAACTAATAATAACTGAGCCCCTGTTCATGTACCAGGCACTTTGGTAAGCATTGTAATACATGTTATCATTTAATGCTCTAAGCCTATAAGGTATTTATGCCATTGCCTCAATTTTAGATACAAAAAACTAAAATTCTAAAGATCCTATAGATTTAGAATTTCAGAAATTTGGGAATAAAACATGGGAAGATAGTGTAGGAACATTACAACCACATGAAAACTAATTCCAGGGAAAGACTGTCTTAGTCCTGATTTGCACTTACATGCAACTGAATATTTGTGTATTCATTCTAAATATCAAGCACATAAAGTAAGTAAGAAACAGTCTCCATCTTGGAAACCTGAGAGGTATGGAAACAGCTGCCTTTGCCCTCACCTTGGAGGAGGGCATGCTTCACAAAGGTGACACCCTCTGAGCTGGGTCAGGAGTATGCGTGGGAGCATGCCACGTCAACCCCAGAGGACAGGCTGGATAAAGCAGAGGGAAAAGTCTGGCATAGAAGGTTTTTGAGCCAAAGAGCCTGGGGTTTGTGCATTGGAAGAAAGCATAGTACAGCTGGAACAAAGGAAGGTGGTATCGGTTTGGTGAAGGGGAGTGGTGAATAAGGTAAAGGAGGAGTCCGATGGTGGGAAATGAGGCTGGAAAATTAGATTGGAGCCTAGATACTAAAATAATCTGGTATGCTGCCTCATTCAGAAACCAGGAGAGCAGCAGACCACCAGCAGTACATTCTTTACTTATGTCTTTAAGCTTGTCCAAGTCTCCAACTCCTGCTTCCTTTTACCTTTCAAAGAATACAGCAACTTTGGTGTTTGTTGAATGCAGAAGCTCACTGGCGTGGTATAAAACCAAAAGATTGGTTTATCTAGTTAGCACATTGGAGAATGCACTGCTGGGCTTGAGTACCCAGGTCAGGATTCTTACATCCCTTTCTTCCAGACTTCACTTGATGTCTGGAAGCATTATGCATGCATATTACCAGTAGGGCCACCACTAGTCTATACCACATCTGTATAAAAAACAAACCTGTGTGTCCTTTCTCCTCCATCTTCCCCCAGTCCAACTGCTTACAAGTGTTAGGTACAAAAAATGCCCCTTTGTCCATGTTAGACAATCACTTGCAGCATATGGGACTACTGGATTCGTGTTACCTCTCTCTCTGCTTAGCAGAACATCTGCATGCAGATCTTGAAATGCTTATAAATCACACCATATAGGTGTGATCACCAGTTTCCAGATAAACAGCACTATGTGATGGACCACATTGGCTCAGCATAAAGCAAACTTCTGACACTCAAAATAGTAAAGCAAAGGTCAAATTGTCCATCAACCAACAATAACATTGCAGAGAAGATTTCTGTGATGGGTGGGACATTTGAATAGATGGCCTCTCAGATCCTTTCTGGCTCAGAAAGTTTACCTTGGCTTTATCACTTGCCTTATCTGTGATACATAAGTTCCTGTTACCACTTGACTAATGGCCTATGATGATGTGAAATAGGGCACGGGCAGCTCTAGGAGCAGAAGGAAAGGACAGACTTCGTAATAATAATTAATCTCTTCGATATCAGTGCTCATTTTCTACCTCATTTTTTAGAGGTTAATGAGTCAGTGTAAGAAAGAAGGATTTTACAGATATAGATTATTTTATAGCCTCCTATGCTGACTACAAGTTGACTATCTTAAGCTTCTACCCATCTCCAAATACCACACAGGTAGAGAATTCGGAGGTTTGGACATGGTCTCGGCTTGTGGTTAACTACTTTTGTGACCTTAAGTAAGTAGCACTGCTCTTCTGAATCTCATTGTACATCTGTAAAATGAAGATATTTGAGAATAATGCCTCAAATTTCTTTTTTTTCTTTGAGATGGTGTCTTGCTCTGTCACCCTGGCTGGAGTACAATGGTGCAATCTTGGCTTGCTGCAACCTCCACCTTCTGGGTTCAAGTGATTCTCCTTCCTCCTGAGGAGCTGGGACTACAGGCATGCGCCACCACGCCCGGCTAATTTTTGTATGTTTAGTAGAGATGGGGTTTCACCATGTTGGTCAGGCTGGTCTCAAACTCCTGACCTCAGTTGATCCACCTGCCTAGGCCTTCCAAAGTGCTGGGATTACAGGCATGAGCCACTGTGCCTGGCCCAATGCCTCGAATTTCTTATTCTTACCTCTTACCACATAGTGAGGACAGCATGACTTCCTCTCCCCATCTGCCCAAAGTATCACCTTACAGAGGACTAGACTCCAAGGCCACTCATAAATCCTCCTCCTTCCTTTAGGACAGAGTGCCTGCTAGGAAAGGTGGCACACTGGAGCTCCACCCATTCAGTCTTTTTTCCTAGTAAGTGACAGATTTAGGAGTAAACACACACTCTGCCTGAAAAGGTTATTTAAATGGTTACTGCTTTGCTTTGATTTAAAACAAAAGCTAAAACTAAAAAGCAGTTATATCCCTCTGGAGGTTTGAATAGAGACTCCTTTGAATCACTTGCTTCTATATCTGTGATACACTAGCTTTCACACATTATTCCACACAGCAAGATGTTGCTCCACTTAGTGGACTTTACTACAGAGAGCTTCCTTCAGTAATGTTGCTACATGCTTAATATTGGCATCATCACATATGCATCATTTTTAGTACATTTTGCATGCTCAGTATTCTGCTAAATATTGTACATATCACTCCAGTTAAGTGGAGAGATGTTTATTTTAGAAAATAAGCATAAACGTAGGTACACTATGTGGGGAGTGTATTTATATTCATGGGGCAAATTTGTGTGACTATACATATTAATAACAGCATTATTCGAGTAGTTCTTCTAGTGATGAGGACATACACTGTGTACAAGTCATTTAAAGTTCATTTGGGTGAAAAATATTTAGATAAACCAAAAGAAGGATTCTAGTAAATACAACATTGATTCTTACATTATTCTAGTATTTGCCTTACTTTTTGAGCTTTGCAGCTTTCAACAGACAAAAATTATACTGCAAATTGCTGAGCAAGAGAAGATGAACAAAAGATGGCTTTGATTGGCATGATTAGGGATCAGCATTAGACTCTCCAACCTTGGGCTTTTGAAAGCAATGTAAGAAAGGTAAGGGAAGTGCAAGAGGTCAAGAATGGTGCTGATACTGGCTTCCTCTTTCCCAGAAGTAGAAAGGGCAAGCACAGAGGCTGTGTTGGACTACAGGGACATGAACTGCTCCAAGGCCTCATTCTTCAGTTTTCAATCAGATTCTTTTATGTCTTTAATCTCATTTATTGTTTAAGGATAAATTTTCAGAAGAATCTGACCAGTGGTCAATTATTGATGCCCAACTCCTTAAATATGATAATTTTAGTTTAGTGGGTTAACTAAAGGGTAGCTTAGGCCAGAGGTTGCCAAACATTTTTTGCAAAGGGCCAGATAGTAGACATTTAGGCTCTAGGGGCCATATATATCTCTTTTTTTAATTGAAATAGGGTTTTGTTCTATCACCCTGGCTGGAGTGCAGTGGTGTGTTCACAGCTCACTGCAGCTTCCAACTCTTGGGCTTAAGTGATCCTCCCACCTCAGCCTCCACAGTGCTGGGATTACAGGCCTGAGCCACTGCACCTGGCCCCAACTACTCAACATCACCAATGGAGTGCAAAAGCATACACAGACGGTACATAAACAATGAGTACGGCTGTGTTCCAATGAAACTTTATTTCCAAAAATAGGTAGCTTGAGAGCTGCAGTTTTCTGAACCCTGGTCTCTATCAGTGTTTTACACATGCAGACTCTAGTGTGTATCAAAATTACTTGGAAGGCTGTATAAAGCATAGATGTTGGTCCCATTCTCCAGAGTATCTGATTCAGGAGGTCTGAGGTGAGGCCTGAGATCTTACATTGGAACAAGTTCCCAGGTGAAGTGTATTCACAGGACAGCCGGCCACACTTTGAGCAGCACTGTGTGAACACCTCCCTGATTTTAGAAATGAGGAAACTGAGTCCTGGAGGTTAAGGGATGGGCCCACAGTCACCCAGAGAGTCAAAAGTTGACTCAGAATAGATTGGTCTGGATCAGATTCTTTGACCTATGTTTCTAATTTTTGCTCTTGAATAACCCAGGGTGACTAAATCCCATTTAAAATTTTCTGATTTGGGTGTCAAAATTTGTTGTGGAACATGGAAGCACACTATCTAGAAGGCGATGGTGTGAAGCAGAGGTGAGCACAGTATCTATAGGCCAAATCAGAAGATCTGGCTTTAAGACATGGGACCTTGGAAAAGTCACTGAGCTTTAATTTTCTCATTGGTAGAACTGGTAGAAAATACTTAGAAAAATGGGTTAATATCTGCTACAAATCTCCTCCCAGTGTTGTCTTTAGGTGGAATGAACATCTGTGGTGAAAAGCCATTGTACTGCAGGAACTGAAAGGAAGTTCTTTAGGAAGAGTGGGAGAAAGGCTACAATGCCCTAGGGACTGGGAAGTTCACCAATACCAGGATTCAGTTACTGGATCTTGAGACTAAGAAGGGCAAAGAGGCTAACTGGATATTTTTGTTGTTGCTGTTTCTCTTAACCTAGAGTTCTTTAAATTCCCCCCAATGGGAAGAAGGTTTGTCTTAGTTTCTCGATGGAGCTGAAGTCTGCAGTTGGGGTTAGGCCAAGGATTGAGCTGTCCCTCTTAGAAATTCCTGTTGGATTAGTTTACATGAAAGAAATACTTAGAGACACACCAATAGGTAAGAATTTAAGAGAGTTTAAAAATGTATATACAACTTACAAAGGAACAAAAACACTGCAAGCCCAGAACCAGTGAATATTCTGAATCACATTTTTTATTGATGTCTTAAATTCAGTGCCTTCTAAAAACTAAATCTATTCAAGACCAGTTAAAATACTGGTTCCATTCAAGTTTGTTTAAAATAAAGAATTTATCATTTAGAATTGCACTTTAAATATAAAGCAAGTTGAACTAAGACAGAAAGAGTGGCACTAAAAATCTTAGGCTGTGCCCATTCTTTTCACATGTTTAATTCGAAATTACAAAATAATAATACCAAGATGTAAAGTAAAAGAAAGAAGTCTAATAAAGATCTTATTTTTTTCCCAAAGATGACTCATCTGATGCTTTTACAAAATATGTCATTGTTCACAGGACAGAAAGGAAAAACAATGACTTAAAATATATATATAATTAATAAACATAAAAACCTTTCGAACATCTTTTTGGTGTTCCTGGTTTGCAGGGTGCCCTAAACAGAGGCTTTCTCTGCCTCCTGGGAAACTCAGAACTAACTCGACACATCACAGTATGTCTCCAGAGCAGTGGTATTTCTCTTGTACTCTAGATTTAAAAAGAGAATGAAGGCTCAGATTCAGTAAACACTTGAAGCAAGAGAATGGGGGTCAAACTTCCTAGAGCAGAAAGGGATATTTGGGAACTGACTGTCAGTCTCCCTGCACCTCTAAGTAAGGAAAACATGGATAACTTCTCTGGGACTCTCTGGCTACCTAGTGTGAAGCCTATGGTTCAGCATCACCGTGCAGTGTTTCGGCAGGTAATTGATTAGATCAATAACAATTTCTCTTGTAAAGATAGTAGACTTGAAAGCAGAATAGATGTATTTCTGCTCAGTTATTAAATGTGAAGAGTCAGCAGCAAATTTAAAATGAACAAAGTTGATAGTACACATCTAATTCTTTATGGAAATGAACGCAAAGATCAAAATTTGGCAGGCTGGTCTTTCTGCCTCCTTTCCTGTTATTGGCTGTAACAGTAGATTGGCCACAGAAGACTTCCTGGGATCTGGTTCATGATGGAGTGGACGTACATGATTGCTGTCTCATCTTATCTCCCAACTTCCCTCTTCAGTCTCAAGACAAAAAGCCACAGGGTTTGGTTGTTTGCTGGGATGCTTGGAAGGAGGAGTGACCCAGGAAAGTAGTGTCCCTGAGGCCTGCAAAGGGGGTGGATCTGCAAGATAGAGACCAACATAAGAATATAAGTTATAAAAACAAAATAGGAAAGAATAGAAGAAAAGTAGCTGAGTAAGCAAAGAGAAAGAAAAATGAGAAACACAATTAGGTGTTAAATTGTGTTCCCCCAAAATTCATGTGTTGAAATCCTAACCCCCAGTACCTCAAAATTTGCCTGTTGTTGAAAATAGACCTTTAAAGAGGTGACAAAGATGAAATGAGGTTATATAGGTGGTCCTAATACAATGTGACTGGCGTCTCTAAGAAGAGGAGATTAGAAGATGGAAACACACAGAAAGAGAAGACCATTTGAAGATCCAGTGAGAGGTAACCATAGACAAGCCAAGGAAAAAGCTTCAGAAGAAACCAATCCTGCTGACACCTTACTCTTGCACACCCAGCCTCTAGAACTCTGAGAAAATAAATGCCTTTGTTTAAGCCAACCAGACCATGGTATTTTGTAATGGGAGCCCTAGCGAACCAATATAGAATTAGAAAATAAATAAAATACAGTAAGGATGAAAAGAAATAATGGAGAAAAGTAGCAGATGGAGGGACTCCACATGAAAATAAGATGAAAATAAATGCATAGTAGGTTGCAAGTAGGAAAGAAAGGAGAAAAGTAGGGAGTTTTGAATCAAATAATGTGGTGGCTTTTCTCATTGAATTTCTGTGCGAAGGAGGAAATGAGGCCTAGAAGACTCGTAGGCATGGAATGAAAGTAAGAGGAGATAACTGTTAGGTTTTATGTGTGTGTGACTGAGATAAAATTTGAATTGTCTGTTGAACTTCCTTATGTTGGAACTTTCACCTATTGAAGCACCAGCCTCAGAGAAAACTTTGCAGTTCTTTCCAGGAAACTCAGATTATTTGGAAAAAATAAATATATAAATAAATAATCTCAATTGTTATAAGAAGCCATTTTAAATAGAGAATAACATCAGAGAAAATGTCAAGAGATTCTTATTTCTAGAAGAAACAAAGTTAAGCAGGTAATTAATTCTGTTAATGATGATGTGAGTCTGGCTCATTTTCTATTCATGTTGACACCTTCCAAAACAGAAGTGTAGCTGATGGTTTGCTCAATAATATGTCAGAGAACTGTGGAACAATGTCTGAAATGTGAGGTTTGCAGTCAAGTGCCGAGAAGGGGAAAAAATGTGCTCCTGATTTTTTGCAGATGTTCTCAGATCAAATTATGGTGTTGAAAAATTGTATAGTATGTTCAATGGAGCATCCAAGATGAAAAGACAGTTCAGTGGCTTTGTAATCGGGATAAAAAATGAGTTAAGGAGCTGTGCTCATGTAGGGTGTAATTCACAAGTTCAGAACTGTCAATGGTATGAGAAATGGCAAGGAAGCAGAAGCATTTGGTTTTTTTAAGTAACTTTCACATAAATTTACATATAAAATCCTGGATAATAGATCTTCCTGATTCTTTATTTCTTATAACTACAGTCTTAGCACTAGGTCTTACATCTTCTGTATATCTTTTGGATTAACCACTACATGTCTATACACATGGAATGATTAAAACACTTGATTGATAAGGGTATTGAGTTTCAGTTAGACAGGAGGAATAAGTTCTGGTGATCTACTGCATGGCAAGGTGACTGTAGTTAATGGTAATGTATTGTATATTTTAAAATTGCTAAAAAGAGTGGATTTTAAATGTTCCCACCACAAAGAAATGATAATTACATATGTACTGAAATGTCACATTGTACCTCATAAATATATACACTTTTTAAAATTAAAATTTCAAAAGGAAAACAAATATTTGAGGGATAGAAGAAACTACCTTAAAGAATCATAGAATTTCAGAGTATAAAATAAAGTAAAAAGAACATTTAGTTTACATTCTTTATTTTATATTACCATAAAATAGAGGCTCTAAGAATCTAAGTGACTTGAACAAGGTCACCCTGCTGTAGGCAATGGTAGACCAAGACTAGAACATAGATCATGCAGCTGTAAGTTTCCTGGATATTTGAAGTCTTTGAAAGAAAGACTCTGGATTTTACAACAAACACTTTTGTTATAATTAGGAAAAGAAAATATACCTTTGGATACAGTGTATCCCTGTTAGAAGCTACATTTGAATATAAACCTTGGACATTACAGGATATTCAAACATACATTTTGGGAATATCATTCTTTCAGTCATTCAATAAATATTTATTGAGCACCCACTATGGGCCCTAGGCACTGGGAATGCAGTAGTGAGCAAAACAGTGTAAACTCTCTGCCTTCATGGAATTTACATTCTAGTGGTGAAAGGTAGCATAAAAACAAGAAAAAAAATATGGAAAGTTGGACGGAATAGTGCCACTGAGGAAATTAATTGAGAAAGAAATAGAAAGTACAGTGGTAAGTTAAAATGAGCTGACCAGAGTAAGCCTTAAGCATAAAATGACATTTATGCAGCAAAATATGCAGTGAAATAGACATTTATGCAGTGAAGTAGAAAAGGTAGTGAGCTATACAGATAATTGTAGGGGGAGCATTCCAGGTAGAAGAAACAGCGAGTTCTATAGAGCTGTTAAAGTCTTTCCAGATTCTCAACGTGTCAGAGCCTAAAAAAATTAAGATTGATAGTCAGTATTTATCAAATTAAGGGGGTAATCAGTCAATAACCCTTGTCCTTTTTACTGGGTAAGGCGAAATATTCTAAGAGGCTAAATATGTCTTACTACGCTTATATGTACAAACTAGCTTGGGAATGTGGATGCATGGAGTGAACTGGTTGTTGGAAGATGGTAAAGGGGAACTTTTGTTGAATTCAGTCAGTAGCTAGTTGTTTTCTTTCATGTCATTTTTATCTGCGGACACAGTATGATTGCTAGGGCTAAAGAATATAAATTGGGATACTACTTTATGACAAAATTATGATGGATTTATTCAGTGTGTCACAACCAGAAGCATAACCCTTGCAAGGAAACAAACAACTGAGCATTTCTGGGTCATGGGAGACTATGCATTCTACCCACCGAAGATGATACTTTTAGGTATGTTTAATATAAATACAGATCCTACCAAAAGGGGAATGTCAGCAGGGTGTGTAATGGCACTTTTCCTTAAAAAGAGAGCTTCAAAATTGATTTTTCTAAACACTCCATTTTTCTGCTATGCCATCCTTTATAAGAACTTGATATATAAAAACTGAAAATCCAGTGCAAGTACATTTGAAGTGAAACAAAAAGTCTCTGTTTTATGTACATACTCACATGCTATTTGGTGCTTGTATATTAAAATACACAAAGTACGATTCATTTGGTACATATCCAATGTACATACTATTAATACTTACTAAATACTCAGTTGCTTAATACTCAATGTGTTCAGTAATAAGGCACACCTTCACTATTGTGATGACCCACATACATTTAAGGCTGTCAGGTGCCTCATATGGAATGGAAGCAGGTTAGCGATTTTACTGCCAAAGTTCAAAGAGGCAGTAGAGCAAGAACATAAGAGGCAATAACTGATTGCCCCGGAAATGTCTTGGAGCCGTCTGGAGTATGAGAGAGCAGAGATTTGACTACATACTTTATGTTTTGAAATGCTAGGAAGTAGGACCCACAATAAGACCTAACCCCCAAAATACTTTTCTTTTCTTTCAGATAACTATGCAGGGACTTTGCTTTGTAAGCATTTTCTCCATTTATTTAAGAAAGCATTTCAGTGTAAATCCAGAGGTGTTTCATGTAGAGACAGTATGAGGTAGCAAGTTCTTGCATCAGAAATAGGGATTCGAATCTGAATCTTCATCTCCTACTTAGTTGTTATATGACTTTGACCTCTCTTTCTCTTTGTTCCCCTCTCTTTTCACTTAAGATTATTGTAAATGTAAATGGCATAACACACGTCAAGTGCTTAGAACAATGTCTGGCACAATGTAAACACAAAAATATATTACATATCATTATGTTTCAGTGGCTCCTGGAATAAAAAAAGAATAGAAAATTATAAATACAGCACCAAACTCTAATTTGTTGCTTAAAATCCAGTCTGTTATGATGTAAAGCACAGGTTTTGCAGTTAGACATGAATTCTAATCCCAACTCCACCTCTTACTAGAAACTTTGACAGAATATGTTCTTTATCTTCTTTGAACTTCAGTTTCCTCATCTGGAAAGTGAAGGATATCCATGCCTTTCTTACAGGGTCATAGGAAAGCAGAAAAGATTAAATGCTAATGATTACTAAGGAAAGAAATTCTTTTTATCTGCCTTATGGGTGTTTAATGTCATAAAAAGATTTTTATTTTATATAGTTATGATACCAAGAGTCAAATCATATCTGCTATAATATATCAAAATGTAGAAAGTGTATTTCTTGAAAGTGTGACATTTTGAAAGCCTGGGATTTATTAGCAGCAAAAATCCTGGAAATCACCTACTTCAATCTTTTTTATTTCATAAACAAATAAGCTAAAACCATAAAAAAGCGTGTGCATTTCAGGAGTTCACATGGTTAATTAGTGGCAGATCTGAGGCCACAGATTTCTGACTAGCAAACCAGAGCTGTAGAGATTTCTTTCATAGCTATTGTAATATTTAGCTAACGTATTCCTAAATGAGGTTTCTAATGCAGCGAAGTTTTACTGCAATTGCCTATCACTTAATCTAAATAGTGATGATCTTTGTACTTTCAATTGCAAATCTTTTCATGCTTTGTTTATTCACTTCTAGTGAACATCAATTTCAGAATATTAGACTTACTTTATGACAAATATTTTCATTTTCAGGCAAATGCATTGGTGATACATCTCCATGTGTCTACTGTTTGGTTGGGGTGGGAGTTCCATAAGGAGGATACGAGAAAGGGTATGATAGGTCAAGAGAGCATTTGGAAAAGAAATACTACTGCTCAATGTCCATTTGCCTTTGGCAGGAAAATAGAAGATCAGTGTTTTATTTATTGTATGGCAAATATCACAGGGTTTTTTTTAAAAGAATAATTATTACTCTATTTCCAGAGCCAAGATGAAAGAATGAGTTACAAATTGCACCCTGAGGTTTTTGCATTGAATACATAGATCCTGAAACAAGCAGTGAAATGTAGTAATATATTCAGTTCATCAACTGGCTATATAGTTTCCACAGCACCTGCATATTTATTTAAATTACGTATCTATGTCTGAGACCAATAACTTTCCAGTTCAATTAATTCAGTAAACATTAAAAAAAAAAGAGGTGGGGGGGGGACATTATTAGTTATCTTGGTAGTTTCTACCACTCATCCTCCCAGTGACAATGGTATATTTTAAAACTCCCCTGGTGGACAGTGGTATATTTTAGTTAAAATAATTTTTAAATGACAATCAAAATCTTGGTGTGAATATTCGTTAACTTAAATTATCTATGACTTGTGAATCTATGTATTTTTGAGGTGTGTTGAAGAACTGTGCATTTGATCCAGCAGATTTTTTAAAGCAGAGTGAATATTCAAAGTACTGGCATACTGTTCTGCAAAGATGAGTCAGGCATACCACAATCACGTTATCCAAAAAATGTGTACTTATTATACATCTATTTAACAAAAATGTATTGTGTGCCCACTATATGTTAAGCACTGTATAATGTATTTTATTAAATGATAGGTATGTATACAAATGTATTCTCATTGAAAGAGGGAGATGAAGAAAGCAGAAGAAAAGGAGTGTGGAGACATTATTCAGCTATTCAATTATTACAAAGTAGGAAATGATGTAGACTGTGAATTGGTTTTCTTCTGTCCTACTTAAATATAGAAAAGAAAATTGGATGAAACTTTGAAAGAAGTTATTCCCAGAGTTCATATTCTATATGTTTATTTTGTTCCTGATTCTCGTAAGAAAAATTTATCAAGCCATACAATCTTTGTTTGTGGAGCTCACATTAGAAGCCCCATTTGTGGAGCCCTTTAAAGAGAAAAATGGACAGGGTGATGGTGCATTATTGTAAATAACTTGGGCTGAAACTCTGTGTAGCTCTTTGTTCTGTAAAGAACCTAGTCCATTTTGAGGACTTAATAAATGCTGAATTATAAGTAACATTCTTAGATAACCTCTGGGGATGGACTCGCAGTCCTAATAAGACTTTTCTAACTCTAATTTTCATGATTTGCTGCTGTGTAGGTAATAGTCATGAATTCAATAAGATCTATAAATGCAAAGTATTTTGTAGTCTCAATATGTCAAAGGTAAGAATTCATTGAAAGTAGCATTATAATGAAGAGTACCTCTAAAATGTGGATCCAAGGACGATCTATAGAATTTCATATATGATGAGCATCATATGAAGTGCTAACCTGGGTTAATTTTAAGGTGAGATTGATTGGGAAATAAGATGAAATAGAAATGAGAAAAAAGACCGTTATCCTCAAAAATGAAAGCTGCTGGAGGATTTATGGTGGAACAAAAGCAAAAAGGACCAGAACCAGTGCATTAGGTAAAAGTTCAGTGTGTATCACATTGGTCATTTTGGCACTAATACATTTCTGGAATAATCCTGCATTAGACAATATGTGAAAGAGAATAATGTGTATATATGGTGGTGAGATGTTGGGGGCTGTAGTGGTGGGGGTGTTCAGAAATATTGAAATAGAGGTGAGGTTAATTCATCTTGTGAATTAATGTGGTCATGGTGTAACTGATGCAAAAAGAGACTAGGTCATAAATCGCTTAAAGGGAATCAGAGGGCAGGAGGGGGCCTGAACAGACTCTCTGAAAAATAGTTTTAGAGCATCTGCTGTGCAATATGGTTTGAACCTTTTGAAGCCCCATTGTATAACTCACTTGTCACTTGATTTGAGGAAGAGATGACAGATCTGCCAGGAACATTCAGAAAGCTTTTTTTTTTTTCAAGGAAGGGTACAAGCCAGCTGTTCTTGTTGTATTGATATTTTAACAAATGCATTGATCTTAGCATTCTCAATTTACCTTGGATTTTAGTATTTCATGTAAAATACGTTGGGGAAAAACACTGCCCTGGCATCTAGGAAAAGACGCTGTAGAGACAAGGTGAAGCCTGGCAGATGGATCTACTTAGCTAGCACAAAGTCATTCTGCAGATTAGGAAACACCTTGTTTTATTTCTCATGATATGCTTCATTATCTTTTCTGTGACTTGCCCTTCACCTTATGAAATGAATTTGGGAATTTGACCTTTTCAAACTCTGTGGAAGAATAAGATTGCTAAGGCATCACTTGGGAGAAAATCCAGCATTTAGAGAAGTAGAAGTTGTAACCCAGCTCCTACCCTCAAACACACGCTATGTCTTCTCCCTCATATTTTCCCCACATTTTTCCTCCCCAAATTCACAAACACACACGTGCATTCACACACACACACATGCGTACCCCCCCACACACCAAACACACAGACAGTGCATCATCTCTATAAGTCATTTATTTTACTTTATTTTATTTTACTTTTGAGACGGAGTCTCACTCTGTTGCCCAGTCTGGAGTGCAGTGGCATGATCTTGGCTCAGTGCAACCTCCGCCTCCTGGGTTCAAGCGATTCTCCTGCCTCAGCCTCCCAAGTAGCTGGGACTACAGGCACATGCCACCACGCCTGGCTAATTTTTTGTATTTTTAGTAGAGACTGGGTTTCACTGTGTTAGCCAGGATGGTCTCGATCTCCTGACCTCGTGATCTGCCTGTCTTGGCCTCCCAAAGTGTTGGGATTACAGGCATGAGCCACCATGCCCAGCCGAGTCATTTATTTTTAAAGTTACCTGGGGATCCCTGTGTTATTGCCTGAGCACTCATCACTGCCTTTCCTTCTCTCCACTTTCCAATAAGTTAGGTAGGTTTTCTACAAGTTAAATCTGATGACACTACTAATATCCTTAAAATACTTGGTGGTTACTCATTGCCATTAGCCACCTTAGCATGGTGGTCAAGGCCTGAGTTTTACTGGCATTTTTGGCCTCATCATCCTCCACTATCCTCTGTGACTGCTGTGATCTTGCTTCTGGGGTCTGCTTGCTCTTCCTGGACAAGCCATGTTTTTTCTTAGTGATTCTCGTCCTGTGAGGACTTCTGTCTCTGTCCAAAATTCCCTAAAGTTCCCCTACCTTTATTCTCCATCAGATCACATCCTACTCATTTGCTCTTTGTGACTTGGTTCAATTGTCACCTCTTCTAGAATATCTCCCTGAAAAGTAGAGTTAGTAGCTCCCTTCTTGTGCAATTACAGTATTTCCTTCATTCTAGCTGTTGTACTTACCAATTCAGTACAGTGATTTTTTGCTATTGTTGTTGGTTTTTTCCTCAGTGTTGTAAACTTATTAAATCAAGAAACAGAGTTTACTCATTTCTGAATCACCCAGCACAGTCCTTACTTAGAAGAGGTATTTGTTGGGTATTTATTAATTGAATTCTGTCCCACCAAAGATTTAGGGTTTATATTTGAGATTCTCTGTTAGTTTTAAGGTTTTCATTTTCGACAACGTAGTATTCCATATCAATCTGAAATATCCCATTAAAAAATGTAGCCTGGTTTTACGTCTATGTGGTCAATTCCAGAAATACTTAAATCCTGCATATTTGGTCTTAAATAACATCACTCATGCTTTAAGTGATGTTAAATAATCTGTTCAGTGCTGGAAGCAAATTCCCCATTGTTTGTCTGTTTTTATTTCTTTTTTTTAATATACATCTAAAATGCCAACTCTCTTGAGTCCTTAATCTAAGGCACTTTCTCCTTTGTTCTTTAGAGGACATTCATTTGTTCATTCACTGGGGGATCCTTTACTGAACGCTAAGCACACTGCTAAATGCTAGAGATATAACAGGTCTATGTTTTTTTAAGCTTGGAGTCTAGATGGGAGATAGAAAAAGTAACCAGACAATGGCAATGGGATCAGTGTTCATATAAAAAGAAAACAAGAGCAGCAATGGGACAATATGGGTAGTAAATTTACCAAGGCCAGAGGGATTAGTAAATGCTTTCCACAGGAAGTAATGTATGCATTGCAATTTGAAGACAAAGTCATGGTTATTCAGGTAAATAACTGGGAGGAGACTGAAGACCATTCCAGCTTACAGCAAGAACAACATGTGGAAAAGCTATAGTACAAGGAGAATGCACGGGCTCCAATTTTGACAGAAGACCAAAAGGCGACACTTTAGAGTGCAGCTGGAGTAACACTATGCACTGTCTTGTCAAGTCATGTTAAAGTAGTTTGAATTTACCAGAGAAACAACTAAAGGCTATTAAAATGTAGACCTAACTAACCTTGTATTTTAGAAAGATCAGTTTGCCTAAAGCATGGAGAATAAGCTGGAGGAGGTAGAATTGGGTACTGGGGGACCAGTCAGGAGTAATGGCTGCTGTTCAGATGATAGATGAGGATGGGCTAAACTAAGAAGTGGAAGTAGGGTATAGGGGACGCAGAAAGATATGAGAAATATTTAGAAGTCAAAATGGCTCTCCTATGATTGATTAGACATGAGGATGGAAAAGAGGGCTGGGGAAGTGGTTGAGGATTCTGGAGTCAAGGAACATGCCCAGGTTTCTAGCTTGGGCAGTGTTGCAGATGGTGATAGTGATGACTGTACTAACTAAAAGTGTAGGACCAGGTTATAGGAAAGATGATGAAATTGGCTCTGGACATTTTGAAATGAGGTGTCTAAGGGAAAACACAAAGGATTTGTGGGTCTATAGCTCAAGGTTTGAAGAAACATTTACTAGTCATTAGCACTTGGATATAATTGAAATCATGAGAGTGAATGAGTTCACCAAAAACGACAGAACTGTGAAAAGACAAGAGAACCGAACCTAGGACAAAACTGATGAGATAGGAAAAGAAAGATGAATGCTCAGAAAAGACCCATGAGAAACAAAGTCACAACCGGAAGCCTCTGAGTTCATGGAATCTAATGGATTGGCATGGTTTAAAAATAATGGCCATCAGTGGGGGTCCGTTCCAGGATGGCCAAATAGGAACACCTCTGGTCTGCAGCATCCCGTGTGATTGATGGAGAAGACAGGTGCATTTCCAACTGAAGTACCTGATTTATCTCATTGGGATTGGTTGGACAGTGGGTGCAGCCCATGGAGGGTGAGCCGAAGGAGGGCAGGATGTCACCTCACCCGGGAAGTGCAAGGGATCGTGGGATTTCCCTTTCCTAGCCAAGGGAAGCTGTGACTGACTGTACCTGGAAAAACAGGACACTCCTGCCCAAATACTATGCTTTTCCCATGGTCTTAGCAACTAGCAGACCAGGAGATTCTCTTCCATGCCTGACTGAGTGAGTCCCACGCCCATGGACCCTTGCCCACTGCTAGCACAGCAGTCTGAGATTGACCTGCAAGGCTGCAGCCTGGCAGAGGGAGGGGCGTCCGCCATTGCTGAGGCTTGAGTAGGTAAACAAAGCGGCTGAGAAGCTCGAAATGGGCAGAGCCCACTGCAGCTCAGCAAGCCCTACTGCCTTTATAGATTCCACTTCTGTGGGCAGGGAATAGCTGAACAAAAGGCAGCAGAAACTTCTGCAGACTTAAATGTCCCTGTCTGACAGCTCTGAAGAGAGCAGTGGTTCTCCCAACGTGGCATTTGGGCTCTGAGAACGGACACACTGCTTCCTCAGGTGGGTACCTGACCCTCGTGTAGCCTAGCTGGGAGACATCTCCCAGTAGGGGCCCACAGACACCTCATACACGCGGGTGCCCCTCAGGGACAAAGCTTCCAGGGGAAGGATCAGGCAGCAATATTTGCTGTTCTGCAATATTCGCTGTTCTTCAGCCTCCACTGGTGATACCCAGGCAAACAGGGTCTAGAGTGGGCCTCCAGCAAACTCCAACAGACCGGCAGCTGAGGGACCTGACTGTTAGAAGGAAAACTAACAAACAGAAAGGAATAGCATCAACATCAACAAAAAGGACATCCACACCAAAACCCCATCTGTAGGTCACCAGCATCAAAGACCAAAGGTAGATAAAACCACAAAGATGGGGAAAAACCAGAGCAGAAAAGTTGAAAATTCTAAAAACCAGAGAGCCTCTTCTCCTCAAAAGGGTCGCAGCTCCTCACCAGCAATGAAACAAAGCTAGATGGAGAATGACTTTGACGAGCTGACAGAAGTAGGCTTTAGAAGGTTGGTAATAACAAACTTCTCTGAGCTAAAGGAGCACGTTCTGACCCATCGCAAGGAAGCTAAAAACCTTAAGAAAGGTTAGACGAATGGCTAACTAGAATAAAGAGTGGAGAGAAGACCTTAAATGACCTGATGGAGCTGAAAACCATGGTATGAGAACTTTGTGACGTGTGCATAAGCTTCAATAGCCAATTCGATCAAATGGAAGAAAGGATATCAGTGATTGATGATCAAATTAATGAAATAGAGCAAGAAGACAGGATTAGAGAATAAAGAGTAAAAAAAAGGAACAAAGCCTCCAAGAAATATGGGACTATGTGAAAAGACGAAATCTACATTTGATTGGTGTATCTGAAAGTGACAGGGAGAATGGAACCAAGTCGGAAAACACTCTTCAGGATATTATCCAGGAGAACTTCCTCAACTTAGAAAGCAGGCCAACATTCAAATTCAGGAAATATAGAGAGCACCACAAAGATACTCCTCAAGAAGAGCAACCCCAAGACACCTAATTGTCATATTTGCCAATGTGGAAATGAAGGAAAAAATGTTAAGGGCAGCCAGAGAGAAAGGCTGGGTTACCACAAAGGGAAGCCCATCAGACTAACAGCAGATCTCTTGGCAGAAACCCTACAAGCCAGAAGAGAGTGAGGGCCAATATTCAGCATTTTTAAATAAAAGAATTTTCAAACCAGAATTTCATATCCAGCCAAAGTAAGCTTCATAAGTGAAGGAGAAATAAAATACTTTACAGACAAGCAAATGCTGAGAGATTTTGTCACCGCCGGGCCTGCCTTACAAGAGCTCCTGAAGGAAGCACTAAACATGGAAAGGAACAACCAGTACCAGCCACTGAAAAAACATGCCAAATTGTAAAGAACATCGATGCTAGGAAGAAACTGCATCAATTAACAGGCAAAATAACCAGCTAACATCATAATGACAGGATCAGATTCAAACATAACAATATTAACCTTAAATGTAAATAGGCTAAATGCCCCAGTTAAAAGACACAGACAGGCAAATTGGATGAAGAGTCAAGACTCATCAGTGTGCTGTATTCAGGAGACCCATCTCATGCGCAGAGACGCACATAGGCTCAAAATAAAGGGATGGAGGAAGATCTACCAAGCAAATGGAAAGCAAAAAGAAGCAGGGGTTGCAATGCTAGTCTCTGATAAAACAGACTTTAAACCAACAAAGATCAAAAGAGACAAAGATGGCCATTACATAATGGTAAAGGAATCAATTTAACAGGAAGAGCTAACTATCCTAAATATATATGCACCCAATACAGGAGCACCCAGATTCATAAAGCAAGTCCTTAGAGACCTACAAAGAGACTTAGACTCCCACACAAATAATGGGAGACTTTAACACCCCACTGTCAATATTAGACAGATCGACGAGATAGAAGATTTACAAGGATATCCAGGACTTGAACTCAACTCTACACCAAGTGGACCTAATACACATGTACAGAACTCTTCACCCCAAATCAACAGAATATACATGCTTCTCAGCACCACATCACACTTATTCTAAAATTGACCACATAATTGGAAGTAAAGCACTCCTTAGCAAATGTAAAAGAACATAAATCACATCAAACTTTCTCTCAGACCACAGTGCTATCAAATTAGAACTTGGGATTAATAAGCTCACTCAAAACTGCACAACTACATGGAAGCTGAACAACCTGCTCCTGAATGACTACTGGCTAAATAACGAAATGAGGCAGAAATAAAAATATTCTTTGAAACCAATGAGAACAAAGACACAATGTACCAGAATCTCTGGGACATATTTAAGGCAGTGTGTAGAGGGAAAATTATAGCACTAAATGCCACAAGAGAAAGAAGGAAAGATCTAAAATTGACACCCTAACATCACAATTAAAAGAACTAGAGAAGCAAGAGCAAACAAATTCAAAAGCTAGCAGAAGGCAAGAAATAACTAAGATCAGAGAAGAACTGAAGGAGATAGAGACACCAAAAACCCTTCAAAAAATTGATGAATCCAGGAGCTGGTTTCTTGAAAAGATAACAAAATTGATAGCTCGCTAGCAAAACTACTGAAGAAGAAAGGAGAGAAGAATCAAATAGATGCAATAAAAAATGTTAAAGGAGATATCACCACCAATCCCACAGAAATACAAACCACCATCAGATAGTACTATAAATACCTATGTGCAAATAAGCTAGAAAATCTAGAAGAAATGGATAAATTCCTGGACACATACACCCTCCCAAGACTAAACAAGGAAGAAGTTGAATCTCTGAATAGACCAATAACAGGCTCTGAAATTGAGGCAATAATAAATAGCCTACCAACCAAAAAAAGTCCAGGACCAGATGGATTCACAGCCAAATTCTACCAGAGGTACAAAGAGGAGCTGGTACCATTCCTTCTGAAACTATTCCAATCAATAAGAAAAGATGGAATCCTCCATAGCTCATCTTATGAGGCCAGCATCATCCTGATACCAAAGCCTGGCAGAGACACAACAGAAAAGGAAAATTTTAGACCAATCTCCCTGATGAACATTGATGCGAATATCCTCAATAAAATACTGGCAAACCAAATCCACACATCAAAAAGCTAACCTACCATGATCAAGTCAGCTTCATCCCTGCGATGCAAGTCTGGTTCAACATACGCATATCAATAAACATAATCCATCACATAAACAAAATCCACATGATTATCTCAACAGATGCAGAAGAGGCCTTCAATAAAATTCAAAAGCACTTCATGCTAAAAACTCTCAATAAACTAGGTATTGATGGAACATATCTCAAAATAATAAGAGGTATTTATGACAAACTCACAGCCAATATCATACTGAATGGGCAAAAACTGAAAGCATTCCCTTTGAAAACCAGCATGAGACAAGGATGCCCTCTCTTACCACTCCTATTCAACATAGTGTTGGAAGTTCTTGCCAAGGAAATCAGGCAGGAGAAAGAAATAAAGGGTATTTAATTAGGAAAAGAGGAAGTCAAATTGTCCCTGTTTACAGATGACATGATTGTATATTTAGAAAACCCCATCGTCTCAGCCCAAAATCTCCTTAAGCTGATAAGCAACTTCAGCAAAGTCACAGGATACAAAACAAATGTGCAAAAATCACAGGCACTCCTATACACCAATAACAGACAAATGGCGAGCCAAACCATGAGTGAACTCCCATTCACAATTGCTACAGAGAGAATAAAATACCTAGGAATGCAACTTACAAGGGATGTGAAGGACCTCTTCAAGGAGAACTACAACCCACTGCTCAACGAAATAAAAGTGGACTCAAACAAATGTAACATTCCATGCTGTTGGATAGGAAGAATCAATATTGTGAAAATGGCCATACTACCCAAGGTAATTTATAGATTCAATGCCGTCCCCATCAAGCTACCGCTGACTTTCTTCACAGAATTGGAAACAATTACTTTAAAGTTCATATGGAACCAAATAAGAGTCTGCATAGCCAAGACAATCCTAAGCAAATAGAACAAAGCTGGAGGCATCACACTACCTGGCTTCAAACTATACTACAAGCCTACAGTAACCAAAACAGCATGGTTCTGGTACCAAAACAGATATACAGACCAATGGAACAGAACAGAGGCCTCAGAAATAACACCACACATCTACAACCATCTGATCTTTGACAAACCTGACAAAAACAAGAACTGGGGAAAGGATTCCTTATTTATTAAATGGTGCTGGGAAAACTGCCTAGCCGTAGGTAGAAAGCTGAAACTGGATCCCTTCCTTACACCTTATACAAAAATTAATTCAAGATGGATTAAAGACTTAAATGTTAGATGTAAAACCCTAAAATCCCTAGAAGAAAACCCAGGCATTTCCATTCAGGACATAGGCATAGGCAAAGACTTCATTACTAAAACACCAAGAGCAATGGCAACAAAAGCAAAAACAGACAAATGGGATCTAATTAAACTAAAGAGCTTCTGCATTGCAGAAGAAACTACCATCAGAGTGAACAGGCAACCTACAGAATGGGAGAAAAATTTTGCAATCTACCCTTCTGACAAAGGGCTAATATCCAGAATCTACAAAGAACTTAAACAAATTTCCAAGAATGAAACAATGCCATCAAAAAGTGGGCAAAGGATATGAACAGACACTTCTCAAAAGAAAACATTTATGCAGCCAACAGACACATGAAAAAATTCTTGTCATCACTGGTCATCAGAGAAATGCAAATCAAAACCACAATGAGATACATGAGAAAACTCTTGTCATCACTGGTCATCAGAGAAATGCAAATCAAAACCGCAGTGAAATACCATCTCACGCCAGTTAGAATGGCAATCATTGAAAAGTCAGGAAACAACAGATGCTGGAGAGGATGTGGAGAAATAGGAACACTTTTACACTGTTGGTAGGAGTGTAAATTAGTTCAACCATTGTGGAAGACAGTGTGGCGATTCCTCAAGGATCTAGAACTAGAAATACCATTGACTCAGTGATCCCATTCCTGGGTATATACCCAAAGGAATATAAATCATGTTACTATAAAGACACATGCACATGTATGTTTATTGCAGCACTATTCACAATAGCAAAGACTTAGAACCAACCCAAATGTCCATCAATGAAAGATTGGATTTAGAAAATGTGGCACATATACACCATGGAATACTATGCAGCCATAACAAAGGATGAGTTCATGTCCTTTGCAGGGACATGAGTGAAGCTGGAAACCATCATTCTAAGCAAACTATCACAAGGACAGAAAACCAAACACTGCATGTTCTCACTCATAGGTGGGAGTTGATCAATGCGAACACTTGGACACAGGGCAGGGAACATCACACACTGGGGCCTGTCATAGGGTGGGAGGCTGGGGAAGGGATAGCATTAGGAGAAATATCTAATGTAAATGACGAGTTAATGGGTGCAGCAAACCAACATGTCATATACATACCTATGTAACAAACCTGTGCATTGTGCACATGTACCCTAGAACTCAAAGTATAATAATAAGAAAAGAGAAATACATAAATTTCCTTATTGTTTCCAAAAATATTTGGGCCACTGATTCTCCCTTGGTTGTAAGTTGACCTGCCAAATAAAGAGTTCTGTAATGTTTACGTTATTATTCAGAAAATATTTATGAATTTCTTTGAGAAACATAAGATGATAATATCAAAAGATAATCATCTCTGGGTGGCTTCTTCCTAGAGAAATTTTAAAGCAAATATCTGCAGCAGTGCTCAGTTTATGCCTTTTATTGTGTGCAATAAAACAAGTAACAACAACAATATAATCCCTGAATTATTTACAAAAAAAAACCTCCAAGACATCATAGTATTTGGAGCAGTACTACAATGAATAGCCTTTCATGACTCACAGATACTTCATTTTCCTGGGAGCTCTGAATAATTTAAAATTTTATGTTAACAAATACCACTATAAAAATTAAAATTTTGATTTAAAAGCATGACCATCAGTGTGAAATACTGTTGAGCTATCAAGTGAGAGAAGGACTGAGAATTGTTCATTTCCTTCAGTCACAGGAAGACTTTGGTTTTAGTGGGTGATAAGGATGGTAGTCAGATAAGAGTGAGTCAAATTGTTAATTGGCAGTGAGGAAGTGAAAATAGTAATATTTTTGAGAAGTTGTGAAGAAATAGATAGAAGGCAGTTGTTGGTTTTTACAAGTTTTCTGGCTCTGGACCCTTCCCAGTTCTGACCACTCTTTTTCTTTCCCCTAACCATCTTTTGCATTTTTATAGCTATTTAGAAGTCACTGATTTTCAAAAACCACAAATGCATCCAGCCTAGGGAGGAATTGGATGTTTCCACACAAGGCCCCAAAGGCATCGTTTCAGATGCACTCAAATGTCTTTTTAGTAATACAACTGTTTTTTAAATATCTCATAAATAATTCTACCATATTAAAAATAGATTAATTTCGAGCTGCTCTGATTTAAATAAGTATGGGAGGCCTGAAGCCCCAAACTCAGGGCCTCTACTTGATTTTCTAAAGTATCCCTTAGCAGGCATTTCTAAAAACCCCCATGGATCCAGGGAACTCAGGTTTAAAGTCACCCTCTCATTCACAGGTTATTTGGACAGAAAGATACTGACTGTCAACTCCTGATTCTGAGGGTTTTTTTTTTTTTTCTCTCCAAGGGCTTCTCCTGGACATTACTGAGAAATGCCACTTGTCAACAAATATCCTGGGCTAGAACCAAAATAACAGATTTTTAAGATAACAGAGATCCTTGTGAAGGTCAAATTCAGCCAAGCACCATTTAAATGTCACCCTGCTCTCCAAAATATCATCGTGGCAAGAAATTCCATTTCATACTAGATTTCTCTGCTCTGTTCTATTTTGGCCATCACTCTATGGAACCTTGGAATGCCAGGGCAGGAAATGGGAGGAGGATGCATGTGAGGGAGCTGCAGTGCTTGTAGACTGCACAGTGCACTGCCTCACTGCTTCCCCAGGGATGCCGGAGCATGCCAGCAGATGAAGTCTGAATAGTATCCCTGTTTTGACAAAGTATAAGTTATGTGGGATCTTATAGAAATGACAGCAGCATAAATAATAGAAAATAACATATATTTATTTGTGCAGCACAGAGTGCATGAAAGAGCTGCCCAAAGTGAATGGAGCCAGGCATTCAGGACTTCTTTCTGTTTGTAACTACTGCCTGGCAGCAGAGAAAATCATTCTGCTGGGTGAATGAATGCAGGTGTGAAGAAACAGAGAGGGAGAGAAACCACCTTGTACTGGAATAATAGCATATGCAGTGTCCTTAAGTAGTTTATACTCTTCCTGGCAAGCACAGAAAAGCCCAGAAGAAAAATGAGGAGAAAATAAATCATATTACCTCTCAGTAGCTTTTCAATATGGGTATTGTTCTCCTCATCTCATAAATGAGAAAACCGAGGTTCTAAGAAATTGAGTGATGTGTCCCAGGTCAAAGAGCTGGTAAGAGGAGAAACTAGGATTTTTCTCATATCATTTTTAAAATGTTCTAATTACAACAGTAAGTTTAGAAAACAGCATTCATCAAGAGTGTGACTAATAGAACAGGGCTTCCCTTCCTTAAGCCATAGAAATATACTATGCATGGTCTCCTCATGTTTGTTGATTGAAATGGGTCAGCTTATGATATGGTTTGGGTCTGTGTCCCCACTCAGATTTCACCTAGAATTGTAATAACCCCCACATGTTGTGGAAGGGACCTGGTGGGAGGTAACTGAGTCATGGGGGTGGGTTTTTCCTGTGCTGTTCTTGTGATATTGAGTAAGTCTCAGGAGGACTGACGATTGTGTGAAGGGCAGTTCCCCTGCACATGCTCTCTTTCCTGCCACCATGTAAGATGTGTCTTTGTTCTTCTTTCATGTTCCACCAATTGTGAGGCTTCCCCAGCCATGTGGAACTGTAGGTCCATTAGACCTCTTTCCTTTATAAATTACCTAGTCTCGGGTATGTCTTTATTAGCAGCATGAGAACAGACTAATACCGCTTACAGGCGGCATTTTTATAACGTCTCAGCTAGTGAGCCTAAAGACCAGAGCGAAGATCACGAAGTGAAATCCGAGGTGCTAACAAGAGGGTGTCAGAACATCTCATTCCCAGCTCAGAATTCCAGTCCTGCTGCCTGTTTTGCCACCATTAGAGCTTTTAAAAAGTTCTTGACTTTTCAGCTTTTGTCTTTGCTAAAAATGCAAAGGTCCTTGTAAATTCAGCTCATTAATCTTTTCTTTAAACTTTAGTTATTCACAATATTTTTTATCGTTTTTTAAATTAATGAAACAAGTTTATTTGAAGAAGCAATTATTTGTATTATCAAATTATATATACATGTATTATACAATGTGCAGTCATAGATATATATATAAAAATTAATCCAAAAGTTAATCCAAAATTCCAAGAAACCCTAACACAATAAAATTATTCTAAGCTCTTAAAAAAGTTATCAAAGTTTAACAAAGAAGGAAACAAAAGACACTGGGCTCTACTTGAGGGTGGAGGGTGGAAGGAGGGAGAGGAGCAGAAAAGATATTTACTGGGTACTGGGCTTAATACCTGGATGATGAAATAATATGTACAACAAATTCCTGTGACATGTGTTTACCTATGCAACAAACCTTCACATGTACTCCCAAAACTAAAATGAAAGTTAAAAGAAAAAGTTTTCCAAGTTTAAACACCATGCTCATTTTCTCTGATGATTTGCAACTCAGTTTCTCAAAAGACATTGTTACCAGAATACATGTACCTAACCAAAAATATCTAAGTAAAAATAGATAACAGAGATCTTCATAGAATTGGAATCTGGGAAGAATCTTCCAAGTATATAACATGTCAATGATATAAATTTACCAAAAATCATCCAAGAGAAAACCCAATGAGCAAATCAAGATTTGACAAGATAGATGCAATTGAAGGACTAGAAAAAATAAAGTTCAAAATTATTTGTCCTTGTTAGTCACAAATATTACTTGATAGTCTCCTAAGCAGCAACAATATTTTCTTTGTTTGTTTGTGTGTGTGTGTGTTTATTGACACATAATAGCTGTATAGTTGTTATGAGGTACATGTGATTTTTGTAACACAATTACACATTGCATACAATGTGTAATAATCAAATTAGGATAATTAGCATAGCCATCACCTCAAATATTTATCATTTCTTTGTGTTGGGAATATTACAGATATTTTCTTCTAGCTATTTTGAAATATACCATAAATTATTGTTAACTAATGTCATCCCACTGTGCTTTCAAACACTAGAAATGATTTCTTCTATCTAACTGTATGTTTGTACCCATTAACCAACCTCTCTTCACCTTTCCTTGCCCCCACCCTTCCCAGACTCTGGTAACTATCATTCTGCTCTTCACTTCCATAGGATCAACTTCTTTAGCTTCCGTATATGAGTGAGAACATGTGATATTTGCCTTATATTTGCCTTTGTATGTCTGGCATATTATACTTAACATAATGTAAGTTTCACCCATGTTGTTGTAAATGACATGATTTCATTCTTTTTTATGGCTAAATCATATTTTATCCGGTATATATGCCACATCCTCTTTATATATTCATTCATTGATGGACATTTAGGTTGCTTCCATATCTTAGGAAGCATTCCATATGCTTCCATATTAGGCTATTGCATATAGTGGTACCAAAAACATGGGGGTGCAGGTATCTCCTTGGCATACTGATGTCCTTTCCTTTGGAATTATGTCCAGTAGTGGAATTACTGGATCATATGGTGGTTCTATTTTTAGTTTTATGAGGACCTTCCATACTGTTTTCCATAGTGGCTGTGCTAATTTATATTTTCAACCAATAGTGCTCTAGTGTTCCCCTTTCCCCACATCTGCAGTATGTGCTTTTTTTTTTGTCTAATTGATAATGGCCATTTTAACTGGAGTGAGATGATATTTCATTGTGGTTTTGTTTTGGATTTCCCTGATTATTAGTGATGTTGAACATATTTTCATACACCTATTGGCCATGTTCATATACCGGCTTTTATGTCCCCTCACCTGAGATCCACTGTTATAGTCTGGGTTTCAATATCATGCTTGCGATATCATTCTATTTAGCATGCTACTTGAACTGAGATTGGAAACACTATCCAATCAAAGAGGCTTTTCTTTCCTTTAAATCAAATGATTCCTAACCAGTGTTTTGGCAATGTTTGGAGATAGTTTGGTTGTCAAAACTGGAGGTGGAATAGGGAGGCAGGAACTACTGGCATGTAGTTGCAGAGGCCAGAATACTACTACTACTACTACTAATATATATATTATTATATTTATTATTTTATATATTATATATATTATTATATATATTACTTTATATATATATATTTTTGTGTGTGAAATGTCTATTTAAATCCTTTGCCAATTTTTTTAGATGGGGGTCTCACTATGCTGCCCAGGCTGGTCTCAAACTCTTGGGTTCAAATGATCCTTCTGCTTTAGCTTCTCAAGTAGCTGGTGCCCATTTTTAAATCAAATTATTTGTTTTGTTTTGTTTTGTTTTTGCTTTTGAGTAGTTTGTATTTCTTATATATATTAATAATATGTTACTTATATATTATTAATTCCTTGTCAGATGGATAGTTTGCAAATATTTTCTTCTACCTGCAGGTTGTCTCCTCACTTTGTTGATTGTCTCCTTTGCTGGGCAGAAGCTTTTTAGATAGATGTAATTCAATTTGTCTATTTTTGCTTTTGTCATCTGTGCTTTTGATGTCTTGCTCAAAAAATATTTGCCCAGACTGATGTACTGAAGCATTACCCCAATGTTTTCTTCTAGTAGCTTCATAGGACTTACATTTAAGTCTTTAATCCATTTTGATTTGATGTTTATATATGGTGAGAGATAGGGGTCTAGTTTCATTCTTCTGCATGTGAATATTCAGTTTTCCCTACACCATTTATTAAAGAGGCTGTCCTTTTCCCAATGCCTTTTCCCAATGTCCTTTTCTTGGTGCCTTTGTCAAAAATGAGTTGATTGTAAGTGTATGGGTTTATTTCTCTATTTCATTCTCTGTTCTGTTCCATTGGTCTAGGTCTTTGCTTTTACATGAGTGTCATGCTGTTTTGGTTACTATGGCCTTGTAGAATATTTTGAAGTCTAGTAATGTTATGTCTCCAGCTTTATTCTTTTTGTCCGGGATTGCTTTGGCTACTCAGGGTCTTCAGTGGTTCCATACAAATTTTAGGATTGTTTTTTCTATTTCTGTGAACAATGTCATTGGTAGTTTGATATGAATTACATTTAATCCGTAGATTTCGTTGGGTTGTATAGTCATTATACCAATATTAATGATTCCAATTCACCAGCATATAGCTGCAATCTTTTGTTAAGTATTGTGGTGGTATTACCCAAGGCCAAGGCTAAACGTTAATTTCTTGTAGTGATGTTATATGGGGTGTCGAGGGGGTAGGGTACTGGAAGGGAACTCCCTTACAAGTAATTTTCAAAGAACTAAAATTCACATGTGAGTAATTAATTAAAAGACCTGGCTCTATTACCATGGCATATTTGGCATGGCCCTGCCTACTTTTTCACATATTTCATTTCAACGTGTTCCTTTTTGGCTATTCCTCTGAAAAAACACTTTTAATTACCATCTTAACTGGATTTTATGAGAATAAAAGTGTTGGAAATTGGCTTCACATGAACTAAATGTCCTACCTGGGAAATCTCCTATTTCCGTGTTACCTCACGAGGGAGGATTTATGTGACTGCCTCAGCTGCCCTAACCACTGTCCAGAGTTCTGATATACTTTGCTTGGACATAATAGATGCTAAAGAAAACACCCCGGGGGGAAACTGCTCTTATGTCCCCTCACCTGAGATCCACTGTTATAGTCTGGGTTGCAATATCACGCTTGTAGTATCATTCTATTTAGCATGTTACTTGAACTGAGATTGGAAACGCTATCCAATCAAAGAGGCTTTTCTTTCCTTTAAATCAAATGATTCCTAACCAGTGGTTTGGCAATGTTTGGAGATAGTTTTGGTTGTCAAAACTGGAGGTGTAATAGGGAGGCAGAAACTACTGGCATGTAGTTTGCAGAGGCCAGAATACTACTAATTATACTAAAATGCACAAGACAGACCCCCACAACAAAGAATTATGTAGTCCAAAATGTCAATAATGGCAAGGTCGGAAAATTTTGCTTTAAGTAAGTCCCTTTTTTGCTTTAAGTAAGATGATGGAACATCATCACTGTTCCTCTTCTGCCATGATGAGTTAGGAAAGCTTCTAAAGAAAGGAGCTTTGTGGTTAAGAGTTTGAGCATTGAATCACGGATATGAGACAGGCATGGATTTTACTCTCAGAGCTGCCACTTGTAAACTCTGTGATCTTAGATAAATTACATCACTTCAGCTGGGTGTGGTGGCTTATGCCTGTAATCCCAGCACTTTGGGAGGCTGAGGAGGGTAGATCACGAGGTCAGGAGTTTGAGAGCAGCCTGACTAAGATGGTGAAACCCTGTCTCTACTAAAAATACAAAAATTAGCCAGGCGCAGTGGCAGGTACCTGTAATCCCAGCTACTCAGGAGGCTGAGGCAGGAGAATCTCTTGAACCCGGGTGGCAGAGGTTGCAGTGAGCCGAGATTGCACCACTGCAATCCAGCCTGGGTGACAGAGTGAGACTCCATCTCAAAAAAAAAAAAAAAAAAAAAAAAAAGATTACATCACCTCTCTACAACCCAGTTCTCTTATTTGTAAGATTAACAATAGTATTACTTTATTGAGTTGCTGTGAAGAATCATCAAATGCATACAAAATGCTTGACACACACCCTGGCAGATGGAAGCCTATTTTGGCTATGATGATTGTTACTCTCCAGCGAGAGCTTTACCAACTTTCAGTTCAGTACACTCAAACCAGACAGAAATAACTCTTGATACAAACAAGACCCAGATCCATAAACCAAAGAACATCCCTCAGTCCATTTTACAAAATTAACTATTTCTTAGCTCACCATTGCTTCGTGAGCCCTTTCTGATGCCAAAGGGGAATATGAGGGATGAGAGTGCTGTGACCAATTTGGCCCATCACTAACATTCATGCCTTCTTTTATCACACCTTGCTGCTGTGAAGCAGAGGGAAAGTAAGGATAAGTGCATTGGGTGCAAAGGTGAAACAAAGATGCCTAAGACATGATTTCTGATAAAAAGACTCAAGGGGTTGCTTTAGAGTTGGGGAACCAAGCCATGGACAGAGAAACCTGAGACACAGCAGAAGATGGTGAAGTGCCAGGGAGATGAGGCCAGGATCCAGAGAGCAGTATAGGAGTTCCAAGGAAAGACACCTTCTCTGGGCAAGGAAAATTTTGAGAAGGTGGTGACATTTGGGCTGCTATTAGGTTGGTGCAAAAATCATTGTGTTTTTTGCCATTACTTTCAAAGGCAAGAACCGCAATGACTTTTGCATCAACCTAATAAAAATGATTTTGGTAAGTGAGGATTTGGATAAGTCTGTCCAGACAGAAGGGATGATCTGAGCAATTGATTACAGAGAGGGAATAAATTATGAGGCATAGGGAGGATATGATTGAGTTTAAGATAGCAGGTGCACCACTTACGTGTTGTGAGATAAGGCTGAAAATATAGTTGGGGACTGGGTTGTAGGGAGTCATGGATGTTACACAGTCACTGCTCTTATAGATCTCACAGACCTCCACTCAGAAAGTCACCATGCAAGAGATTAAGTGCCCTCCTAAAGGCAGGCATAGTGTACTGTGAGGGGATGGAGAAGGAAGGGTCTGCCTCACCTACCAGAGCCAGGGACAGCATCACAATCGAGGTGACTGTTTAAGGCGAGACCTCAAAGATGGGTTCAGACTTTTCAACGAAAAAGAAGGAAGCTAGATGGTTATGCTGAGAAGATAATCTAAGCAGAAGAAACAGAAACTCCTAATCTAAGCAGAGGAGGGAGAGTCATTTGAAATAGTTGAGCCACGAGTGGGTGTGGGGATGGGGCAGAGGGTGAGACTACAAGGGTGGACTGGAGCAAGGTCACAAAGCTGCTGTGTGCCCCATTCAAGAATGTGAGCATTTCTCTGCAGTGACGGGGAGCCATAGAGCAGGCTTAGGATGGGGAGCAATAGGAAAGATTTGTTTTTCAGTAACATTGCTCTGATGGCACTGGGAAGAGTGGTTTGAAGAGGTAAAGCCTATGTGAAAAGAAGCTAGCTTGGCAGATTTCATTTGTCACAGCCCAGGGGAGAGGAGAGGAGAGGCTGAACCTAGCAGTGCTAATAGGGAGGTGGCAGAAGGAACTGAGTTTTCAGCAAGTAGAATTTTCCTAACTTGGTGATTGATAGAAATGAAGGCAGTGGCAGGTGGGGGTGGAGAGCACAGGATTGGAGATGACTCAGACACACACTGTGATCATTATTATCACAGGCTTTTACATCACACTGTCTGGGTTTGAATACTGGCTGTATCACTTACTAGTTCAGTCAAATTACTACGCATCGGCTTTTCTATTTTTAAATTGGGAGTGATAAAAACAGGACCAACTTTATATGGTTTTTGTAGGATATAATCCAAGAAAAACACTTAGTACAGTGCTTGGCACATGGTATAGATTCCATAAATATTACAATATTAGTTCCTCCTTCTCTTCCTCCTTCTCCTTCTTCTTCCTATTATTAATAATTTTCAATCATCATCTTTAACAACATCATCATCATTATCATTATCAAAATCATCATCATCGTCATCAACATCACCATTTCTAAATGGTTCTGGCTCGATGGTAGAATGGTGAAGTTATTCACTAAATAAACAAATGCAGTAGGCAGCACCAGAGAGAATCGTCATTGAACTTTTCCAACATAATGTGACCATCAACCAAGTCTAAGCTGAAGTGCAGGCGCTGTCTAGTTTCATGCTTGTGTAGGTAGGAATCAAAAAGGTAGACTAAACTTACTTCATATGTACTTTCAACTTTAATGAATTAAATTGAACACTCATGGCAGAGGAAGATAGAAAGCCAAGAGAAAAAAAAAGGAGAAAATGGGAGAGAGGGGAAAAAAGGAAAATTTAAATAGTAGAGCTAAAAGAACTCATCCAATAAACATTTGCCTTGTGGCTAGGGACAAGAAATGAGTGTCCACATGGAGTTTGTCAACATGGCATTCAGTGTCTAGAGGTGCACACATCTTAGATAACATATTCCCAAGCATAAACTGACCCCTTTATCTGTGCCCAAATAAAAACGGGGCTATGTCATCCAATGTTGATGTATTGGACCTGTGAAATGGTATAGTTTCCAACATGCCATTTTCCTGAGAAATTTTATAGTTGATTTTCAATGTATATTATTTTTGTTTTATGAGCTGACATTAGAAACCAACCCCTAAGTAAAATGTTATTCTACTCTGTATTCACTTTTATTTTGCCTTAGAATATATCTTATCCTGAGTGTTCTGCTTAAAGACTTCTCCCACAAAGTAATGCTTAATACATTGCTGTCATGCTAAAAGTACTCATGTTCAATTCATATTTGATGACATGAATGAAATCTGCAACAAAGTGATCAGGCATATTTTCATTCTGGAATGTAAAACCCCAAAGCTACTTCCTTAGCAAAAGTAGCTTGAGAATCTGTTTTAGTTGGAAGACTTGGGAGTGAGGGAGGTTGCATTAATAAAAGTGTTTGCATTAATGAAGCTACTTGTCTGGGCTTTCATATTTGGGACCTCAGATGAGAGATATAATGACCAATCATTCATTGTAAGTAATATCAATTATATTTCTTTTTATATTTATACTTTGGATGAACAAGCTTTGGTGATCACTATGTCCCAAATATCCACGTTAAAATGAATATTTCTTTCCTCTCAGTGATCTTCCCTAGAGTCAGGTAAGCCTGGATTCAAATTCTGGCCCTATTTATTCCTAACTGTAGAACCTTAGAGTGTTACTGTGACAACTCAAAAAATTAAATGACATAATACATGAAAATACCTTGTTGATAAATGCAAAGTTTTCCACAAGCATTAGTTGCTGCTGCCCCACTGAAGCCTCTCAACCTGGCCACAAGGTCAGTTTTAGATGGAAGGTCTCTGACCCCAAGTTCAAGAGGCTTCAGTAAGGTGGTTCATGGGGCAGCCTGTGCTATGGGTAGCTGGAGCTGTGCACAACTATGATTGTTCTGCTCAGTTTGCTTTAGAGAAATAAAATCTTCCCCAAATGTATGTCATCATTTTCCCAATAAACTTGAAGTTGACCTCTTGGTTTCTTTCTACCATCTCATGATCAAGGAGAGAGTTTTGAATCACTTGTTTAATCTCAGGTGCTGGCTGACTGATCAAGTTATTCAAACTGAAACATGAAGTTTGGCATTAGAGCTGTTTAGTTTGGTTATGCCCATTGATCAAATGCACTGCATAAGCACCACATTTTCTCTTTCATCCCATGTTCTGTAGATGTGGCCCGCCTCAGTACGATTTTTTATCAACATCAAGATAAAATCATATATAAGCACATGTACATCATGTAGGTGTACATGGCAGAAATGAGATGGCCATCTCTTTGCAAAGGCTCCTGGAAACCCTCAGGCTGCACTGCCATCTATTTTATCCAAAACAGAGGAACAGAGTCAATTTTCTTTACTTTTTAAAAATAAAGAATAATAAAAGCAAATGACTCAAAGACACTTCAGATATTCTTTAGGTTAAGAGCGTGCATTGATTACCTGAAGAACAAACACCATTTATTGTTTGCCGATCATTCTTTCTTACCAAGTTTAGATGGATTGTATTCATTCTAAACCAAATGATTAATTAAACTGCTTGAGTTTTCCCTTCTTCCCTTCAGCTTTGGTGGTAATTAATCATGGCTATTTCTGGCTTTTAATAGCATTAAAGTTGTGCTTTACTATATTATTTTGGTTGTCTCTTCGAAACTCAATTATGTCAGCATACAATAATGCAGAGGATAAGTTCAGAAATGTAAATTAACCTTGATTCACTCCTTCCCTGAAAGGGAGCTCCTGGAGTCTTTCAGAAGAATGCTTCCCGTCATTGAATGTGATGTTATCCATTAAGACTCAGGTGTCTGGAGCTTTTTACAGTGCTTTCAATAGGAGGCCAGATTCTTTGGCCCATGAGAAGCATGTCCTTGAACAATAGTGAGCAATTTCCCTATTTAAAGAGTATTTAAGAGCTTCAGATCAAGGGGCAAGAACATCAAATAGGAAATATCACAAGGATCTTAATATAATTAATATAATTTATGTTGAAAAGTATCACATATTTTAAGCCCTCTTTCAACATAAAATGTTTCTAGTTTAAGATGGTGATTTTGCCATTCTGAACTCCCCTGAAACTCTTATAAATATTTGGAGAGTGAAAAAAACATATTATTATAACACATATACAGACATCCCAAGTGAATTACAGTAGCAGTAGGTCATTTCCCAGTGTTTAGAAGGCCTATGGTGATAAAAAGAGACTTCTGATGGGTGGCAGATGCTTCCACACACATGAAAGAGAGAAAACCTTCTTTCCTAGTGAACTTTAGGACAGCACTTTGTTCCTTCTCTACTTTTTGAACAAGATAGCCAAGGTCTGTGTCAGCAGAAATTCTAAGGCCATCACAGTGTATTTTGTAGAAAAAAAACCACAGAAAGTAGAAGAGGCTGGTGGTGGAGTGCTGAGTTTTGGGAGCTACAATTCCAACCATTTAACTGTAGGCCAGAAAGGAAACAGGAGAACGTGGTGCAGGCTGGGGACTGTAGCTGCTCCTGTATTTCATCTCTTCTACTGGTCAAAGAAGAGGAGCAAAGGTAGGAGACGGAGGCTCAGCTCTATCCTGGTTTGCCCATGAAAAAGAACATCTTGGGACCATGAGAAAGAAGCTAGTAGCCAGACACCTTAATTTGTTCTCTAGCCTCTACCTGAAAAGGGAGTACCACTCACATCTGAGGATACACCTGTGAGCTCTTCTGCTTAATATGCCTGTCTATTATTAGCATACTATGAAATGAACTTTATGCTTCAACTGTAATCTTTTGGATTGGTTGAGAAAAGTTGATTTTTCCCCTTGGTCCACTTAAATGGCACAAAGGACCTGTCTCAGTATATAAGCAAATTCCTCATATCCAGGAAAATGGGTCAGCAAATTACATTAAAGATTAAAAATCAGTAATAGTGACAATATAAAGCAAACTTTAGTCTGACATGACAAGGCCTTCTTTATCAATGCTAACAGTTTTCTTTCCTTCCATATCTCCCCATATCTTGTTCATTAGGATATTTTCCAACCCAACCAAGAGAACACTAGGTTTTCTTTCCTTATTTTCCTCCCTAATTCTGTAATTTTCTCTACTTTAGAAGCTGGGCACTGATAATGCACTTCACCCATTCCATCCTTAGTTGTAAGATGGGTGTAATAGTAGGATTACATTGCAGCATAGTTTTGAGTATTGATACACTGCAATGCACACAGGACAATTAGCACAGGGCCCAGCACATACAAACACCTCATATCAGAAAAACCTAGAAAACCTTATGACACAAGTATAATTCTGGACCAGGTCACAAACATTGCTTAGCTATAAGAGGCCTGGCCTACATTCAGTCAGAAACAGAAAATCCAGACCTAAGGGCAATTTAGTGGCAGGGGCAGAGGAAGTGCATCCAAGAAGCCTGGGTGTCCCCTTGACCACAGCTTGTGCGGTTTATATCCCTCTTCACCATATTCTTTTTGTTCAAATATCACAAGTCCCCTTTCACTCATTAAAGAAAGTCAGGCTTGCTTCTCTTTCCTTCAGAAATCAAAGTAGAAACTAACCCACATGGTCCACAGACAATTAGTATCGTGGTCACTAAGAACTAGGAATTAATTCTCTAGCAATCTGCTGTGGACATGCTGAGCAGGATCTCTCTTGGCCCTCATCCCCTCATCTGACCAATTACCTGGAGAATTTCTCCATCTGCTACTGTGGCAAATTGCTGCTTTGATGTGAGGATGTATAATCTCTATCTTAGTCTATTACTGGTTTTTGTTGTTGTTTTCTTTTTTGAGACAGGGTGTTGCTGTTTTGCCCAGGCTGGAGTGCAGTGGTGCAATCATGGCTCACTGCAGCCTTGACCTCCCAGGCTCAAGCGATTCTTCCACCTCAGCCTCCCACGTAGCTGGAACCACAGGCATGTGCCACCATGCTGGCTAATTTTCTACTTAATTTCATTTTCTGTAGAAACAGGGTCTTACTATGTTGCCCAGGCTGGTCTCAAACTCCTGGGCTCAAGCGATCCTCCTACCTTGGCCTCCCAGAGTGCTGGCATTACAGGTGTGAGCCACTGCACCTGGCCAATTGCTATTGAAATTATCTTGCAATTCTGCCCAAATGGCTTTGAGCAGAGATCTATCCAGACAACATTACTTGTTCAAATCCTAGTGATTTAACACAATCGAAGGTTATTTGTCACTTCCTTCAAGTACAAATCAGGTATCCCTCAACATTGTACAGTTCTTTTTTAAGCAGTGATTTTAGAAGCCAGCCTTCTTTCATCTTGAAAAAGGGACTTCTAAAGCCAGCAAGTGTGTCTATGTCAAGCTAGCGGAGAGGGAAAGAGCTTTGATGGGTCAGGCTTCGGACACCAGATTACTTCTGCTCACATATTATTTGCAAGAACTTCATCACACAATCACACCAAACAAGGAAGTCTGGGAAATATCATATAATATCTGCAACCATGAGAGAGGGGAAATAGTTTCAAAGGCCCCAGACAGTGCCTTCTGGCTAACATAGTCTAGAGAGAACTTGCCTCAATCCTGAGTTTGCATCTAGCACACGCATGCCACATACTCTTTAAACCTATGGAGAATATATATGGAGTCAGACAAATTCACAACCATACTTAAGACCCCATGGCACATCCCATCTATGAAAATTACTTATTTCAGGAAACAGAAAAATAGGATGAGAAATGCCATTCTTTGTGAGCCAGAAGACATGGTCTCTTTGAAGAAGCTATGGAAGCCACAAGGGGAGAAAAGTATGAGAAGGACACAGGGCTGCAAATAGCACTGCTGTTAGAAATAGTACCACATACAAAATATTGCATCCTGCTTTTTCACATACATTTGTGTGATAAATATTTTCCCAGGTCATCCAGTACACTTTCACGGCCTTTGGTGGCTTATTTCATTTATCTGAAAATTCACAATTGAGACTTCCCAGCCTGCTTCATTTTCTTCCTCTGCAAATGCTTAGTTATGATCACTTCCTAATGCTTCTTAATATACTTTAGAATTTAACTTGTGCATGTATATTGGGAAACAGATATCTTATGGTATTGAATCTTCTTATTCAAGGATATACTATATTCCTCAATTTATTCAGGCTTTATTTTGGGCCACTTAATAAAATTTGAACATTATTTTCATACCTTTGTATATTTACTCACTTGTAAACTTAGGCAAGTCGCTTAATCTTATGAAGTCTAAGTTTTCTCTTCTTGTTGGGATTAATAATAGTAACTATCTTTATAGGAATCTATTATGTGTTAAATGAGATAATATATGTAAAAGCATTTAGCATAATGCCCGATGTCATAACTGTTCAATAAATGAGTGCAATTGTTACAATTATTGCTAGATTTATTATCAATTTATTTATTTATTTTTTTAATTTATTTTTTTGAGAGGGAGTCTTGCTCTGTCACCCTGGCTGGAGTGCAGTGGCGTGATCTCAGTTCACTGCAACCTCTGCTCCTGGGTTCAAGTAATTCCCCTGCCTTACCCTCCTGAGTAGCTGGGATTACAGGCATCTGCCACCCTGCCTGGCTAATTTTTGTATTTTTAGTAGAGATGGTGTTTCCCCATGTTGGCCAGGCTGGTCTTAAACTCCTGTGCTCACATGATCCACCCACCTCGGCCTCCCAAAATACCGGGATTACAGGCATGAGCCATCACACCTGGCTTATGTATTGTCATTTTATGTGTCCATTTATGTAAACATTTATGACTACAGTCATTTCCCTATATTTTCTGATTAGTTTTTAGAGGTAAAGAGGATTTTTTGTATATTTACTGGATTCATGATTTTCTAGATTCTGAATATTTCTAATATCTTAGTTGATTACCTTGGTTTTTCATGCAGGCATTAGAAAATACTATTATAATAATAAAAAGGTTGGATCTTATTTCTAATACCTAAACTTTATTTTAATCACTATTACATTGCCTGAAACTTCCAGAACAATGCAAAGTAATAGTAGTAATAGCAGGTGTACCTGCCAGTGGTAGTGACAGCAGGGTGTCTGCCTTATTCCTAGGTTATAAAACATGAGAGGCATTTTTGTTAAAGTGTAGTATATGGTCCTGCTTGAGATAAATGATACTCATCATGTTAAAAAAAATCAACTTTTACTCCTATTCCTTTTTGCGTGGGATTTTTCTAATTTAATGTTTTATATAGTTTGAAATATATATATATAAATATATATATACTTTGAAAACTATATAAAATAGCATTGATTTGGCAAATATAATTTAGGAATTTATTGTATGGTGTTATGTTTTTACGAAATTGAGCTAATAACATTTTGAGTTAGTAGAGTTGAACCATTTTTACATCAGTGGAGTAAATTTTACTTGGTTTTAATGTATTTTTACAGTAAACTTCTGGGCTTGAATTCTTAATGTTTGTTAAGAATAAAAGGCTTGGTATAAATACGTAGGATTAGACTATAATTTTTAAAATTCATAATTTGTCAGATTTTGGCATTGGGTTTTGAGGAATTTATTAAATGATTTGGAACTTCTCTTTGTCTATGTTCTAAAACAGTTAATATAATAAAGAAATGATTTTTTTGTTTTTGTTTTTTTGAGATGGAGTTTCACTCTTGTTGCCCAGGCTGGAGTGCAATGGCATGATCTTGGCTCACCGCAACCTCTGCCTCCTGGGTTCAAGCGATTCTCATGCCTCAGCCTCTCAAGTACCTGGGATTACAGGCATGTGCCACCATACCTGGCTAATTTTGTATTTTTAGTAGAGATGGGGTTTCTCCATGTTGGTCAGGCTGGTCTTGAACTCCTGACCTCAGGTGATCTGCCCGCCTCAGCCTCCCAAAGTGCTGGGATTAGAGGCGTGAGCCACCACGCCCGGCCTGATTTTTTTTTAAGTTTGAAATAATTAACGCATAAAACCGTTTTGAATTGGCACCTTTTCTGAAATAACTATTGGGTATCGTTTACCATTTCTTCTTAGTTTATTGTTTTATTGAGACTTCCTTTTTTCATCTTCAGCCCATTTATGTTATGTTTTTCTAGAGAGTTATTTCATTTCACCAGGATTTTTTTAAATAAGAGAGATAGGTATAAGTATACTTTTAAAGTAATTTTTAACTAAAATTATACTTTTAGTTAAAGTAATTTTTAACTAAAGTATGAAAAAGTTAATAATTCTTTTTTTTTTTTTTTTTTTTTTTTTTTTTTGAGACAGAGTCTCACTCTTTCACCCAGGCTGGAGTGTAGTGGCGCATGTGGGCTCACCGCAGCCTCTGCCTCCTGGGTTCACACCATTCTCCTGCCTCAGCCTCCCAAGTAGCTGGGACTGCAGGTGCCCGCCACCATGCCTGGCTAAATTTTTGTATTTTTTTTTTAGTAGAGACAGGGTTTCACCACGTTAGCCAGGATGGTCTCGATCTCCTAACCTCGTGATCCACCCGCCTCGGCCTCCCAAAGTGCAGGGATTACAGGTGTGAGCCACCACGCCCAACCAAAAAGTTAATAATTCTTAATATGAATTCCATTTTTCTTGTCTGAAAAATAAATTGAATGGATAGGACAAATTCTAGAGTCCATTAGAACTTTAACAGTTTATGTCTGTGATTGTTTAATTAAAGCAAGTCCTAAATCTAATAAAAAAATTAAAAAATAACTTCCTAGTGCTGGATGTATCTTTACCTTCCCATCTAAGTATCATCACCCAGACTCTTGCCATTTCCTTTTTTGAGACACTCCTGAGTTTCTTTTATTAAGTATCCTCCCTCCAATTTATGCTGTTTCAATGCCAAATTTAGTTTCCTAAAACCAGTTTGTGTATAATACCTGTTAGCATTCAGCCCACTCCCACCTATCAGCACCTATTTTCATTCTTCTCTTCTTCAAATCCCAAGATTCCTCTGCTCTCTAAAGCCCTCTATGTGTGCGTTCGTGATTCTTCCCACCATTATGGTCTCTTTCACATGTATGGTCTATTCCACTACATTTGCAAGTGGCTTTGCTATGCTATATTGTCTTCTTTCTATGCATATGTCCTGTTCATCTGAATTGATAATGTGATAGCGGTAGTGGTGGTGAGCCTGCAGGGTCAGGTTTATATTTGAAAGTCAAAGTCATTGTGCAGACTTGGCTGATGGCAGCCTTTACTGAGGGCCATTGGAAAGACAAATGTGGCACCTCTGAGGCTGGAGACATTGTCTTTGATAGAACAGTTCCTTTGATTTCCTCTTCTATTCACCCAAAAAACTACCTCCACAGATATTTCTTGCATGGCAACCAGTTCCTAACTGTTTAGGAAAGGGAAAAAATTTCATTAGGATAAACTAATGTAATATATGATATGATATAATAAATATAATACAACAAAAATACCCTTAAGCAGAGAGATGATTTAGTAGCTCATGCAGAAATCAGAAGAGTATTCAGGCACTGCTCTGTGAAGAACTGTAGCTGGGCAGAACAATGAATGGCTAAAGTAACTTTTACTCTCCTTAGAAGGAAGACTAAGGCTTTGTGTAAAAAATCATACCCTGACTTTTAAAGGCTGGAAGTGGGCAAAGAATTTCTATATGGGGGCACCCAAATCTCAAAGTTTTGACTCACTTTTTTCCCTTCTATTACCCTTTTCCTTCTTGGTTTCCTCCCAGTGGCTACTAATGCCATAGTGAGCTCAAACAAGTTCAAAATTCATTGGTGATTTCCTCATGGAGCAGCAGAAGACAGGCTGACACATTTAAAATAAGACTAAGCCAAAGACAAATAACAAAACAGAAACTAATGCCAAAAGTAACAACTGACTACACTTGTTTAGTGATAAAATCCCTCAGGATGCCTCGATGGAACTGAGGTCTCCTTTCATGAAAGGTTAGGGATGGAGTTTTAGTGGGAAGGAGATAATAGTTTGGAAACTGAAGGTAGAAACAATAAGATCAAAGAATTCTAGAGCGTGGAAGAAATCTAAGCACACCCATCAATGTTTCAGGATAAAATCTGAATTCCTGACAGCGTCCCAAAAGACTTTGAAGGACTTGAACCTCTCTTTCCTCTTAGAATTCATCTCCTGCTTCTTCCTGGGCTTCTCCTTCCTTTCTAGCTATTCCAGCAGCCTTGTTCTTCTTCCAGCAATGAAAGCTTTCTTCTGCCCCAAAGACTTTTTACTTGATATAGTTTTTGCTCAAAATTAATCTTTTCAGTGTATTTATATTTAGAGGCCATTATAGATAAAATAAATCCTCACCTTACTCTATTCTCTAACCCTGCACTGTTATTCTTCATAAAACTTAACATGACCTGACCATACTAATATTTGTGTTTTTATATTTCATACATCTCTTCCTCTGAAAAGAAAGCTCCGGGCTGGGAACGCTGGCTCACGCCTGTAATCCTAGCACTTTGGGAGGCTGAGGCGGGTAGATCACCTTAGGTCAGGAGTTTGAGACCAGCCTGACCAACATGGTGAAACTCTGTCTCTACTAAAAATACAAAAACCAGTCGGATGCGGTGGCGGGCGCCTATAATCCCAGCTACTTGGGAGGCTGAGGCAGTAGAATCACTTGAACTCGGGAGGCAGGAGAATCGCTTGAACCTGGGAGGCAGAGATTACAGTGAGCCAAGATTGCGCCACCGCACTCCAGTCCGGGTGACAGAGTGAGACTCTGTCTCAAAAACAAAAAAAAGAAAAAGAAAAAGAAAAAAGAAAGCTCCGTGAGGGCAGGCACTTTGCTGGCTCCCTTCAGGAGATGAGTACAGTAATAGTCCTTGCAATGTCCCTGTGACTACCAGTCTTTCCCTTCCAATTCATATGTTCATACACCATGATTAAATTAATATTCTTAGAGCCAAGTTGCACTCTCATGACTACATTGCTCAAAACATTTAATTGTTGCTTATTGCTCACAGAATTACATCAGAGTTCCTCACCATTGTAATTTGATTCAGTCCCAGACTAGCTTTTACAATATTATCTCTCAGCATTTCTCTACAATTTATTTGAACCAAACTGGATTTTGCAAAGTGCAAAAAACAATGTGCTCTATATCCTCACTTTGTCTTTTTTTTCCTCCATTCTATTATGAGACTATGTTTTACTTATCTCTGTGTGATCCCCAGTAGAGCAGAGTGCATGATTTATGGCTAATATGCATTTATTGAGCACCTGTTGGTTGCTAACAGACCAGGTGAATGCTGGATTAGAAATAAAGTAGTTAGCTGAGGTAGAAATTATTATTAATTCCATTGTACAGATGAGGTTAGAAAACTCGTCCAGGGTTACAGTGGAGGAGCTAGGATTCCAACCCAGTCATTTCATCACCTTGGTCAATGCCATGGCCAAGCCATACACAAAGAAAGATCACGAGAAGTTTTACTCATGAGGAAGCCACAGAATCTGGAGATATAACATCTTTTTGTTTTTGGATGTAAATTTGGGGATTTCTGTTTTGTTTTTTTTCCTCATGGTTGGTAGAAAGAATTTATTTGTGAGCTTGACACATGTCTGTGCTGTTTTACCTTTTTGATGGAAATGATGTATCCTCCAGATTTACAAAACTGTTCTGGAAAATATGCATTCTATATTACTGTTCCATTCAGCCACCTGATATTTTAAGCCAGTCAACAATGGTTATTTAAGACAATCAAGGGACCAGGAAACAATTAGTCAGGAGGCCTTGACAACCAGAGAGTAAATTACATTTATGAGCACACTCTGCAGCCATTGCAAAAAGCTCTTTAATCAGAACGGGAGCTATTTGTTCTCGTCCATTAAACAATGTCTATATGGATGCTTGTTGTTGGCTTGTGCAACCCCCAGCTTTTGTTTTTACAGATCAAAGTGGATATTCTTCATGCATATTGTAGTACCACTTGCAAGGCAACATGAACTGTAGTGGGCAGGGTGTCGACATTTCATGGACTTGGAATTCATATGAATCTTTCAAAGGCACTTTAGCACATTTTTATTAGCTATTTGGCCATAGGATATAATAAAAAATGCATTAAACTTGAATTTAAGAGACTGGATTTTAGACCTTCCTCTCAGTTTGTGATCTGGGAAAGTCATTTTACTTCTCTGTTGTAAAATAGGAGATGATAATTAGACAACATTTCTCCCACTTCAAAATTCTGATTGTATGTTGGCCATATCATGGTGTGAAGATGCGAAACTACAGTTTGTAAAAATCTCGTATAATTCATAGAGAGTCCTTTCTAGTTTCCTAAGCTCCAGAAAGAGATATTAAAATATCTGAAACACCTGGTAGTTATAGTTAGGAGAGGAACTGGATTAGATGTGTTTGGTCAAAACCAAGCACTGGAGTCTATTTCATGGGATGAGTTAATGTAAGTCTATGTGCTTAGACTGTGCTATTGTACTAGGAACAAGTTCCTTAGACTGTGCTGTTGTACTAGGAAAAAGTATGTGTAGTATCTCTGATGTGGAGAAATAGAGAGTAATATGTCTCCTCAATTATCTTAAGGTATTCAGCCTTAGGGAGCATATCATTAGAATGCTTGAAGTAGAAGTAAAATAAAATCCAACTCAAGCTGTTGTTAAAAACAAATAGGGAAATTTATTTAAAATGTTGTATACATTTCATCCAGAATTATTTTTTTAAACATGTATTCATACAGTATATTTACAAATGCCCCTTGACTTATGATGCACTTACATCTGGCAAACCCATCATGTAAATTGAAAAGATTTGGGGTTGAAATACATTTAATACACCTGACCTACTGAACATCATAGTGTAGCCTTGCCTACCCTAAACATGCTCAGAACACTTTCGTTAACCTACGGTTGGGGAAAATCATTTGGCAACACTGAAAACTGTCGAATACCAGTTGTTTACCCTTGTGATGGCTTGGCTGACTCAGAGTTGCGGCTCGCTGCTGCTGTGCAGTGCCGTGAGAGAGTATCGCTAGCCCAGAACAGATCAACATTTGAAATTTGAAGTATGATTTCTACTGAATGTGTATATCATTTTTGCACCATTATAAAGTCAAAAGATCATCACAAGTTGAACCATCATAAGTCAGAGACTGTATATACAAAAGTATATGTATATTCGTAGTGTATCCGTGTAATATACGCACAAATATATGATTTGTATAGGTTGTATGATTTAACACATACGTAGCATGATATATAAATGGCTTTTAATCTTTTTTCTGGATTATATATTTTGAATTATAACTTGGGATATGCAAAACTATTTTAGTTCAATTATTTAAGTCAATGTACAGTAGTAATCTATTTTTAGCTTCTCTCCATAGATATATATGGACATTTAGGTTGTTTCCATTTGTTTGCTTAAAAAAAGGTATCCAGTGGCCAGGCACGGTGGCTCATACCTGTAATCCCAGCACTTTTGGGATCTGCCAAGGCGGGCAGATCACTTGAGGTTAGGAGTTCGAGACCAGTCTGGCCAACTTGGTGAAACCCCATCTCTTAGCTGGGTATGGTGGCGCATGCCTATAATCCCAGCTACTCAGGAGGCTGAGGCAGGAGAATCACTTGAACCCGGGAGATGAAGGTTGCAGCGAGGTGAGGTCGCACCACTGCACTCCAGCCTGGGCAACAGAGCGAGACTCTGTCTCAAAAAAAAAAAAAAAGAAAAAAGTGTCCAATGAATTATTTGTCCACCAGTACAAAGAGGTTTTCCAGTTCAGGCCAATTGCATGGTAGGGGCCCTCTTGATTTGGCTGGCTGCTGGGTTTTTGTGTGAATAAAAGTTTCATTCATTTGGAAGAAATGTCTAGGTATGGAATTGTTGAGTAATATAGTAGGTTGCATGTTTAATATTTTAAGAAACTGCCAAATTGTTTTCCAGAGTGGCTATGCCATTTTACATTCCCTCTAGCAATGTATGAGTGATCCATTTCTCTGCACTTCACCAGCATTTAGCATGTTTTTTTTTTTATTTTAGTCATTCTGATTGATAGGGATGCAGTGATATCTCATTGTCGTTTTCATGTTCATTAGTTTACATTTATATTTGCATTTAATATTATTTTAACTTACATTTATTTAATTGGTTAATCACACTGAACATCTTTCCATATGCTTGTCATTGGCATTTCCTCTTTAATGAGATGTCTCTTCATGTCATTTGCCCATTTCCTGATTGGATTATTTGTTCTATAATGGTCCTTTGTCAGGCATGTGGCTTACAAATATTTAATCCTAGTCATCTGATTCTCTTCACATGGGCTTTCACAAGGCAGAAGTTTAATGTTGATGAGATCCAGTTAATCATTTTTTCCCTTTAATGGACTGTGTTTTTGTTGTCAATATAAGAACTCTGCCTATCCCTGGATCCTGAAGATTTTCTTTCTCTCACTGTTTTCTTCCAAAATTTTTTTTTTTTTTTTTTTTTTTTTTTGGTTTTACATTTTACATTTAGGTCCATGATCCATTGTGGGTTAATTTTTGTGTGAGGTGTCAGGTTCAGGGCAAAGTTCCATTTTTTACCTGTGGTAGTCCAATTTGCTCCAGAACCATTTTGTTAAGACTATTCATTGAAGTGCTTTTGCACCTTTGTCAAAAATCACTTGAGCATATGTATGTGGGTGTATTCCCAAGTTCTCTGTTCTGTTACATTGATCTATTCTTCCACCAACACCATGCTGTCTAGATGACCTTAATATAGGGTAGAGTGGTTCCTCCCACTTTATTCTCCTTTGTCAAGATTATTTAGCTGTTCTAGGGCCTGTGCGTTTCCATAAAAACTTAAGAATAATATGGTCTATGTCTACAAAAAAGCTTGCTGGGACTTTGATATAAATTGTATTAAACCTGTAGATCACTTTGGGAGAATTTCCTCTGTCGAATCTTCTAAGTTGTGAAAATGGTATGTGTCTCCACTTTTTTTTAGGTCACCTTTGATTTCTTTCATCAGTATTTCATAACTTCCAGCATACAGATCTTGTACCTATTTTTCTTGGTATATACATGAGTGATTTCATTTCTTTTGGCATGATTATAAATGAAATTATGATTTTAATTTTGGTCTCCACACGTGAATTGTTAGTGTATAGACACATGATTGATTTTTATATATTGATTTTGTGTACTGTGATCTACCTGAACTCAGTTATTATTTCTAGGAGATTTTTGTAGAATCTTTGAGGCTTTCTATATAGTTAATACTGTCACCTGGCAATAGGGACTGTTTTATTTCTTTCTTTCCAATCTTCATGTCATTTATTTTTTTCTTGACCAATTTGCTGCAAGTAAAACTCCCAGTATTGTGTTGAAAGACAGCAGTAACAGCAGACATCTTGCTTTGCTCCTGATGAAAGCTGTCAGTGTTTCACATTAAGCATAATGTTAGCTGTAAGGTTTTTGTAGATGCTCAAGTTGAGGTAGTTCCTCTCTATTCCTAACTTGTTAATGGTTTTTATCAAGAGTAAGTGTTGACTTTTTTTTTTCAAATGCTTTTACTGTGTCAGTTGATAAGATCATATGATGTTTCATCTTTTGTGGATGTCTTCTTTAGTGGATTACATTGATTGATTTTCTGATGCTTAACTGGTCTTATCTGGAATACATCCCACTTCATGATGGTGTTTAGTTGTTGTTATTTTGTTTAATATTTATTTATTTATTTATTTATTGAGATGGAGTCTTGCTCTTGCTGCCCAGGCTGGAGTGCAGTGGCACGATCCCAGCTCACTGCTGCCTCCGCCTCCTGGGTTCAAGTGATTCTCCTGCCTCAGCCTACCAAGTAGCTGGGATTACAGGCGCCCACCATCATGCCTGGCTAATTTTTGTATTTTGAGTAGAGGCGGGGTTTTGCCATGTTGGCCAGGCTGGTCTCGAACTCCTGACCTCATGATCTGCCCATCTCAGTCTCCCAAAGTGCTGAGATTTCGCGTGTGAGCCACTGTGCCCAGCCTAGTTGTTTTTATACATTGTTGGGTTTGGTTTGCTAATATTTTGTTAATATTAATTAATTTTGTTATTATTAATTTTGTGTAGGTTCATGAAAAATATTTGTGTATAGTTTTCTTTTTGTGTGCTGTTTATTTTTGATTTTTTGATATCACAGTAATACTAGACTCATAAAAGTGAGTTAAGAAGTGTTCCCTCCCCTTCTGTCCTTTGAATCCTTCTTCCTCTTCTACATAATTCTTTTCTGGAAAACTCTGTAAAAGGTTTTGCCATGCGGAATTTTCAGTATCATTATTTCTAGGCATTCTGAAATTTCCCTCATGATTTCCAATTTAACTCAAAAGTTTATTTAAGCATGATTATTACATTTTCCAGTTGGAAGGGTCATTTCATCTTCCAGTTTAAATATTAATTTCTAGTTTTAGAATGCTGTTGTCAAAAAATATTATTTGTGGTATTTCTAAACAGAAGGCTTTATTGTGGTTTTCTTTGAGGTCTCATATATAGTCATATTATGTGATTGAAAAGGAGGTTTATTTCTGTTTTAAAGTTATACTGTGAACTAAAATCTCCTGTGACTAGCATGTTTCCACCTACTTATTTTACAAAAATATTTAATATAATTTTTATTCTTTATGAGCTCTTTTTCTATGTTTTTTTTTGTTAGTAGTTATCACTGTTTATGTTCAGTGTTGACTCTTCCATTTATTAAGTACCTTTATTTGTTTTATTTAATGCTTTTATTCCTGGATTCACTTTTCTAATAGAAATAATCTATAATTTGCTTTACTTTTATTGCATTTTTTGGCATGCCATTGCTAGCTCTTTTACCTTTTTTAGATTTTCTAAGTTATTTTGTTTTAGGTATATCTGTTGTATGCAACATATAGTTAGGTATTGCTTTGTGATCAGAGACCAGATCTCAGAGCTTTTAACTTTTAATTAGGTGATCTTACTTAATTTGTGTACAGTGCTAGAATACATAGTTGGATTTTGTTGTGTTATTATATTTTATTTTATGCATTTTCACTTAGCTTTTTTCTTTTTATGTACCATACATATTTCTTTGTATGGTTCAAATTGGCTTTCTTAATTGTGTATGTGTGTGTGTGTGCATGCGTGCACGTGCACACACTTCCTAGGTTAACTTGGAAAGCTAGTTTTGTGATTTTTACATGATTTTAGTGTAAACATCTAGAATATTCAGCTATTTCTTTATAAAGTATTAGTATGCCTATTATAAACAAATACCGAATTAATATATTTCCATCTCTACCACTCCCTCCTTTCTTCCCTCTACCACATAATTGATTTTTCTTAGTTTTTTTCTAACAATTACATTTTTGTCTTTAAATACAATTTTACATCTGTTACTTGATTTATCAATTTTAACTTACGTATTTTGCTTGCCATATTTATAATTCCTTCCATTTGTCACCACTTTCCTTTCCAAGTTTTATTAGTTATTTTATTTGTATGCATTTATTGTATATCACTTTTACATTCTGTTCTTTGGCCACTATTCCCATTGCTGTTTCAGCTACATCCCTAATTCTTGCTTATTAAAGTTTTTTTTTGTGTGATTGAGCATAATGTTCTCAATTCACATTTTATTTCTTTGAGGAGTTAGCAGGCATTGTTTCATTTTATATTTTTGTGTTTAGGCCTGGGTGATTTTGTTTCTTCTTTTAGGTAAAAATCTTTTTGCCTGCATACTCAAAACACAGTGTTCTTTTTGTGTGTGTGAGACAGGGTCACACTCTGTCACCCAGGCTGGAGAGCAGTGACACTATCATGGCTGACTGCAGCCTCGACCTCCTGGGCTCAAGAGATCTTCCTACCTCAGCCTCGCAAGTAGCTGGGGCCACACAGAGGTACAAACCACCTTGCCGGGCTAATTTTTTATTTTTATAGAGATGGGGTCTCACTATGTTTCCCAAGCTGGTCTTGAACTCCTGAGCTCAAACAATCCTCCCACCTCAGCCTCCCAAAGTGCTGGGATTACAGGAGTGCACCACCATGCCTGGCCCTCAAAATACAGTGTTTTTTATTTAGTTTTGAAGTCAGTAACTTTCTTTGCAAATGTTTTGATGGTGATAATCCTGTTGTTGTTGTTTTAACATAATATGCCCATCATCCAGTCTTTTTTTTGACTGCAGGCTCAGTGGTGATGGGGCTTCTTTTGTCTTCTACACTGTTGTATCCCTGTGTATAGAGCTACCTGGTATATAGGAGGTGCTCAATAAATTGTTGTTGTGGTTATGACTGAAACATTTTCTTAAATTATAACTGAATCTTTTTTCTGGTCCATTATACACTTGTATTTTGAGGGACACTAATATTGCTCATACTGAATAGACTTCATCTTCCAAGTTTATTTTCTCTAGTCCTTTTAAATTCTGCCCATTTTGATTTGTTCGGTTTTGTTCACCAAGTATTTTGTTGCATTTCTACAAGTATCTCTTCTCCAGTTTCCAAAGGGAAGCTCATTCCCATAACAGTTTTATATTTTCTTCTGTTTTTTTTTTTTTTTTCTAAGCTAAACCAACTCATTTTTCTCCTTTAAATGTCTTTTTCATAAAATTTCTCTCAACACTGGTATTTCTGCTTTCGGCAGTTAGTTTTAAAATGTTAATATAGTTGATGGTTGAACAATGCAGGGGTTAGGAGTGCTGACTCCCCACATGGTCAAAAATATGAATATGACTTTTGACTCCCCCAAAACTTAACTACTAATAGTCTACTGTTGAACAGAAGCCTTACTGATAACATAGTTGATCAACACATATTTTGTATATGTATTATATATTATATTATGATAAAGTAAGCTAGAAAAAAGAAAATGTTATTAAGAAAATATATTTACTTTTTATTAAGTGGAAGTGAATCATTACAAAAGTCTTTATCCTCATCATCTTCACGTTGAGTAGGTTGAGGAGGAGGAGAAAGAGGAGGGGTTGGTCTTGCAGTTTCAGAGGCAGCAGAAGCAGAAGAAAATTCTCAAGTTACTAGACTTGCACAGTTCAAACCTGTGTTGTTCAAGAGTCAGCTGTATCTCATAACTTTTTTGACTTGATGGCTATGAGTTGTAATGCTTTTTTTCAGCTCTGTGGCAACACAAGTATCTGTTATTGACATTTATTTTTCTCTGACTTTGGACTCTTATTAAAAACTATTTTAGTTTCCACATTGTCATCATATTTTATTTTATGCTTATTTATTTCCTTTTTTTCCTTTAAACTATTGCACTGCATGGCTTAGATTTGTTTTGCATAATTATTTGTCAGATTTGTGTTCTCAACTATTTTATGTTTGAATGAGTTGTCATCTTCCTAGCTTAACTATTTCAAGTATGGAGGGGTTTGGCCCCTATTCTGAGACAGTAACAATTTTCCTTGATTTCAAATGAAGTCGTTAATGACAGGATTTTATGGGCAAAATGCTTAACTTTGCTTGTCCCGTCCTAGCAGCAACTGTACTACTGCTCCAAATTTATATTTTGTTTTTTCTACTGCAGCTTATCTGAATACCACTTTCTGAAAACACCACTTGTTTGTGAATCCCACCTCCCCCACTTTTCTAGTGCCAAGGTAAAGAGAGTAGCTTCTATATTGAGCTAATTTTATTCCAAAATAGGATTGTTGGGCTTGCGTCTTCTCATAGGCTACCTAGTTTGGGATACAGAGCACTACAGCCTTTTTTCTGTTCTGCAGCCACAAGTATCTTGACCTCTTCCCACATATCCATGTGATCTTTCCAGTCTTTGCTCATCCTTCATAATATATGGAAATCAACTAATTTATAGCAAATGTGGAATTTCTGTTCTCCTTTTCCTTTTTGTTTGAGAGTTATTTCTGAGAAGAGGAAGGCAAAAACCTCTTTATTCTGTCATCTTTACACCAGAAATCCATCATCACTACTGCATCCCAAAAACAATGGCTGGTATTGAAGGGTCTTATTGGCCAAAGGCCTTGGTGCCAGGAAGTTTTAGGAGCCTCATCCTTCAGTATCTGGTGAAGGAATTAACATCAAACATGTGATTGCCGTGATTCAAGATGTGAAAACAAGAAGGATGACTGTATGCTGCCTCAGCTTTTTAAAGAGAGCAAGCAGTGTTCAGATGGACCTGGCCGTTTTTTTTCTGTTGTGATTTTGCTGTCCTGGATAGGGAGGAGCTGCATTCTGCTGTGTAGAGTCAAAATAATAGAAATAATAGAAAATTATAGAATCTGTATTACTCGGCCAAAATCAGGGTATTGGCAGGGCTGCATTCCTGCCAGAGGCCCTAGAGGAGACTCTATTCCATGCATCCTCAAGCTTCCAGTGGCTGCCAACATTTCTTGGCTTGTAGTCTCACTACTCTGATCTCTGCTTCCATCTTCATTCATAGCACCTTCTCCTTTGGGTATTATCTTCCTCCATCTTTCTCTTATAAGGACACTTGTAATTACATTTAAGGTCCACACAGGTAATCCAAGACAATCTCCCAATTTCAAATCCTTAACTACATCTTCGAAGATCCTTTAAAACAAATGTGGTAACACAGGTTCCAGGAATTAGGAACTGATATTTTTGAGGGCCATTATCAGACAACCACACTATGAAAAACCCATTTTTTTTAGACTGAGTCTCGCTCTGTCTCCCAGGCTGTGGTGCAATGGCACGATCTTGGCTCACTGCAACTTCCACCTCCCAGGTTCAAGTTATTCTCCTGCTTCAGCCTCCCGAGTAGCTGGGATTACAGGTGCCTGCCACCACTCCAAGCTAATTTTTGTATTTTTAGTAGAGACAGGGTTTCGCCGTTTTGGCCAGGCTGGTTTCAAACTCCTGACCTCAGGTGATCCATCCTCCTTGGCCTCTCAAAGTGCTGGGATTACAGGTGTGAGCCACCACACCCGACCCTCTACAAACTTTATTTCTAACATCTCAGCCATTGACACGTAAACCACATTATGCCACACACTTTCTAGACACCTGTAAATGAATCTTACCAAAGTTCCAACTAAAAGAATTGCTGGTTCTAATAGAGACACATAGCATTACATGAGCTAAAATGGAAAAAGAAACTTTAGAAAAAGCAAACAATCTTTCTACTGTTACCTTTGTCCATTAAGATCCAGTTTTTATCTGAGATTGTCTATAAGACAGTAGAAACAAACATAAATGAGCTGATCTATCAAGAGGCAGATGTGTTGGCTGCTTGTTGGAAGTCATCTAGAGTCAATGCCTTGAGTCTAGAAGACAAACGGCGGTAACCAACAGAAGCAATTAGGTAGTTAAAAGGATTATTACTTCTGCTAGACAGTGCCTTTGCCTTCTAAATGCTAGCAAAGTTGAAATTGAGAACACCAGAAAGTATAAAGCAATGCAACTGGCCCAAAGACTCAAATAAAGGAAACTTGAATTTAATTTATACTAAAATATATAACTGAGCCAACAAAATTAACTCATTGAACATGACAAAAATGTAACTGAAGGGAGGACAGTTTCCTTTTCCAAGGAGCCAAGCAGGAGAATAGTGTAGGGGAAGTAGGATTGGGATGAGAGATGATAAACATGAATTCTCATTGAATAAACAGCCATGTGACTTTGCTTCTCTGGAAGTCCTGGCATACATTTGAGGATAGGGCTATGATGAGGCAGTTTAAAAATACAATCTCCTGCAGTCATTCAAGTTGTAATAGTGACAATGCTGGCATATCATACTTTCCCATGTACTTTGTCCGGGAGCATGAACTTTTGGGTTTTAGAAGCTAAATAAGGATAGAATATTGCAATTGATAATGACTAAGACGAGGACAGTTGAATTAATTGCAACTTTTATTTCTTCAATTGAGTAAAACATGGTGCTAATTGAGGTTGATAATATGGGTTCAATTCCTCCGAGGGCCAGATGGTTTTGCTTAGTCTGGGGACAAGAGGCTGCCACACTGGTCCCCTACCAGCCACCTCTCTAATGTGTATCATTGATCCTAGAGGAGGAGAAAATAAATCAGCATCCATGCCCTGTGAACAAACACATCACTATCATTATAGAATCCACAGCATTTACATAATCTCAGGGTTGAAGGGAATAGTGTGACTTTCAAAAGAGAAATTAGCATCACTATTATGATAATATTTTAAAACCTAGTACTTACAATTATTAATTATTGGATCTCCTTTCTTTGAATGGAAAATTATTTAGGTTGGCATGATATGTCCATTAGGTTTTCATCAGAAAAGTAAAATTATGATGGCTTATGTAGAATAGGGCACTCATTATATAAACAGTCCATGTAAGGCAATTACTTCTGCATCTATGCAGGACCTGAAGTCAGCAGGGCTGGGAGTCAGGAAAGTGATGGATGGCAAGTAGGGGAAGCACTCAGAAGCTGTGCTGGAATCTGCATCTGCCTCTCACCACCTCCAGGTCCCAACTTCTTTATTGTGAGTGACCTGCTACAGAAGAGACTGCTGTCCTTCTACCATGAGCTGCACATGAACCTGGCCAGGATTTGGAACAATTTGAGGAGCAGGTCTGGCAGGAGCTAGAGGAGTTGAGGGCCCAGCTGCTGCTTCACACCAATAAGATTAAGCAGCAGTAAGCATGAGCTGCAAAAGCACCCAGTGCCCTGCATCAACCTTGAGAGTGTAATAAAAAGTTGGTTGTTGCTTCAAGTCTGCCTTTTTCTAAATCTCGTGCTTAGCTAAATTGACACAGCACAAGTCCACTATAGATGAAATGACTCTGATTTAATGAGTCTTGTAAATAAAGATTTATCAGTTTCATATAGTAAGTGTTATGCATATATAATGTATGTATATATGCATATAAATGTGTATGTATTTATGTGTGTGTGTGTACACACACACACGTCTCTTCTGTTAAGAAGAACGATTTTGCCATTTTCTCCCATATTTCTGGATGTGGACTCACTCACTCGGGGCAGGTAGGTAATTGACATCTTTCTTCCAGTTGTATAAAGCAGGGGTGGGCAAACTATAGCCTCTGAGCCAAATCTGGACCACTATTTCTGTAAAAACAAACAAACAAAAAACAAAATAAAGCAAAACAAAACCAAACCTTTTATTGGAACAAACCAGTCCTATTTCTTATATATTGTCTATGGCTGCTTTCCCATTACAACGGCAGAGTTGAGTAGTTGCAAGAGTGACCACATGGCCCGCAAAGCCTAAAATATTTACTATCTGCCCCTTTACGGAAAAATGTTGCTCATCCCTGGTATAAGGCCCTACATTAAGTTATTTTGACAGGTGCAATCCTGAACCTTCCTCAGACAGCTCACAGCTTCCTATTCTGATGACCAGAAGTAGGTGACAAAACAAAGCCCTCTTCTTCCAAATATATCCCCCATTAATCCAGTTGTTTTAGTACACTTCAGAAAATACCATACTGAGATTAAGGCAAACTTCCAGAAAGCATCTAATAAAACAGCCAATATACCATTAGGTTTTCTACATTCACGTTAAAATTGATTAGAGTCCACTGAACCAATTAGTCAAGTTCACTTAGTGAACATGGTCCTGTCGAAACAGAATGCAGAGGAGGAAGCTGGTATTGGAGGTTCAGGATCGTGAGCCAGTCTGTTCAAATCTCAAGGCTTTGTTTTCGTTCGCCAGACTTACCTTGCCTCTTACAAAGAAAGCTATGGGTGCCTGTGACTTGTGGCCAATTTATGAGAGAATTGATAGTAGAATGCAATTTCAACTTCCTCATGTCATAATTTTGTTAAGGACCAGCCTGTTAAGAAGAGAGACTGCTTTCTCTCTCAAGGTATGCCAGCTACAAAAATCAGTCCAGGAAGACTCAGAATTATAAAAGAATACTTCTCATTTAAATCAAAGCAATTAAGTCAAGATGTCTGCACCCAGGGTATAGCTGTAAGTCCATGTATTTGGCAGGTTATCTGTAACTCCATCGACTACATGCTGTAATTGGGCAGTCAGTGCTGCCTGTTCAGCCAAGAAGTCAGTCAATGGTCACAAATTTTGGTGGGGTTTTTTGCTTGTTTGTTTGTTTAATAGATCTCTGTCACTTTTAATTTCTTGGCCTTCCTTCATCCCTTATTGTTTATGCAGCATGGTTTCTTATTTAGGTACCTGAATTTATCTCTGTAAATGGGAAACTTTATTAATAAGATACAGGTGAAATCTCAGGACTGTTCCTCCTGGGAGGTGACTTTTAACTCAGTGTGAAGCTAACAACATGGTAAATAAAGGTTATTTCTCAAGGTCTCATGGGCCAAAAATTAGAACAAAAGAAAGGTCTTGTGTTAACTATTGCAGGGACTGTTTGGTATAGCTGTACAGGTTACTACTACTTCAAACCACTTTATGAGCAGGAATGATTGTTCACACTGCTCAATTATAGGGCTCAGTGTGTGTATTTCGAGGTTGCAATAATTCTACTGCTTGTCCAGGGTTTTCAAATTAGCCAGAACTCTTTTGACTTTAATCCTTGATCTTCTTTCAATGTCCCATTTTCGACTGCTGTGATATCCAATCTTAGAAACAAAAGCTCAGTAGAAAAATGCCCAAAGCATGTGAGAAAATCTGCATAGCATATAACTGCAGAAACTTGTGGTTTCCAAGGAAATCAAATGCCAGGAAGTCACTTACCTTTCAAGAATGCAACGCTTAATCCAAGTAATCCAAAAGCAATCTACTTGGCAATCTAATTATATTGTCTTAGGAGGAAACTGCAATAGTGTTTGTTTGCATTTAATTGCCTCTCTTTAATATGTTTGTGTTGTATTCCTTTCTGACTCCATTCCCAATCTGAAGGTCCCTTGAAATATTTGACTTAGATTTCCACACTAACCCTGGGGATTAAACTTGGACTCACACGTGATAGGACAAACAAGCTCTTATTTTGTGTATGTCAGAGCTGATATCAGTTTCTAGAAACAATCACTTTTCTTGGACAGGTAGAAAGAAAAAGTATAGATGTAAATTGACTCAACTGTTGTGTTCTACTTATGTATTGAAGCATCAGCAATACACATAGAGAAAATTCCCTGCCCCTCTTTCTCCCGTTATGTGATGGTGGAGGATTCTAAGAAAATGATCCATCTTCTTCAGTGCTATGCAAGAGAGAAATACTTGTTTAGTGGTTAGATTTTGATATGAGTTCTATTCCTCGATATCAGTGACAGTGTAATTTATACTTAATTGAAAATGCCACAGTTGCATATTATTCCTGAGGATTTTTGAGATACCTCAAAGGAGTTGGGTGAAGGTTGAGGCCAGGAGTTACTTTTGACTATCAGGAAAATCACACCACAGGTCTTGAATTCAAATAGTCTTGCTGATGTGGAGAAATTCAGACATTACTTTTAATCCTAGGATCCTAGGTAAGGGTTTTTCTTCTATCTTGTGTTCTACAATCAAGATGGAATTTCAGTTCTTGCAAGACGTCTCTTTATCTCCTCTGTTTTCACCACAGTGATGCTACTACCCCACACAGATAAAGACAAACTTCCCTTATTCGGAAAATCCTACTTGTATCTTCAACTTCTAATCATAGTTTTGAACACATTGCAACTGCTTAATACTATTTGTTAAATAAATGAATGGGATCAGTATTCTGATATACAGTGAAGAATCACATTTTCCCACATTCAGGAAAGGAGAACACTGTGCAGACCATATTAATTTCCTTTTTAGAGTATATAGTTTAGAAAAATAAAGACATATAACAAGTGGGCCATTGGGTCAGGAGTTATACTAGAAATGCAAAGGGTGGAGAGAGATCATTTATTTTCTCTTTTTACATTTTTGGATTCTTTTTCTTCATTATAGTAAGAATATACTGCATTTTTAATTTTTAAAATAACCAAAAAAACTTCATGTTTAACATTAAACTTTATTAAAATGAATAATACATCCATAAAAGCAAATATAACAAAAGTTCCTCTTGACTAAACTAGGCAAATTGATAAAATCTAGAGAACTTGATATCAGTTAAGGTGACGTGGTTGCACTAAGCCATCCCATGCCTCCATGACTGGTTCCGTACACTAATACGGGACAGGGTTAATTTGGATTGAAATGATCTATTTGTTATCTTTTCATTTTTTTTTCCCTCTACCTGACCCACTTTTGGGCTATAGTAAAAAAAAATAAGTAAACAAGTAAATGAAACAGAAAAGAGAGAACTAATTAAAATACGTAAAACTAAAGTGGTAGTAGCTAAGGTAAGTAGCTAAGCTAATATAAGGCAGTAATGAGAAATGCCAGCCCTAGCAAGCTAGCAACTTCAGCTCAGCTTTGCACTTTGCCCTTCGGGTTAGTCAGATGACCCTCTGCCAGAAGAAATGTCAGTAATTCCAGGAAACGAAGCTTGTTTTTCTTGCCCTAGCTTCCACCCTAGTAAAATTTTTGACCTCCAGATTCTGCTCATTTGAAAGTCATAACTTGGTAATTGATATAGAATATGGATATAGGAATTCCTAAAAGAGATGTGAATTTGGGGAAGAATTTTTCTACTTAAGAGAAAATAAATCAATATATTAAACCAAGAGAAATTTCTTACCGTGATTGTCCTTCCACGTCCAGATGAGACAGAAGATATACTGATAACACACTACTTCTTAAGAAGTATTTCAACAGGAGGATGATGGTTGAGACTGTAAAGATTTTGAATTAGAGTACATTTCCCAAGGTAATAATTTTGTAAAACTAGGCCTGATGGTGTGCATCTCTAGTCCCAGCTACTGGGGAAGCTGAAGCAGGAGGATCGCTTGAACCCAGGAGGTTGAATCCAGCCTGGGCAATATAGTAAGATCTCATCTCTAATAATAATAATAATAATTTTGCAATTTTCAAGCATCTATTCATTTATTCATCTAATCGTTTGTTCATTAATTCAACAGATGTTTATTGACTATCCATTAAGTATTTCCAGAGTGGGAGACAGAGCCATGAACAAAAAGTATCTCTGTCCTGGTGAAACTTACATTCTAATGGGCAGTGAGGAATAAACAATGAACGAGCAGGTTAATCAGTAATATGTCAGATTGTAAAAAGTGCTATGAAGTATAATACACAGAGTAAGGGGATAGGGACTTTGGGGAGGATTGATTTAAATGGGTTGATCAGAAAACCACCCTGTGATCTGATCTCACTGACAAGGTGACTCAAATCTCCTGTTTAGTGGTATAGATAGAGAAGAGATCTGAAGACTACATTCCTGACCACCTCAGCCTTTAGAGGCCAGGAAGATGTGGCAGAATTACCTAAGGAAACAGAGAGTTGGCACCCAGTCAGTGAGGAATGTCCTGCATGCACTCAAAGGCTGAATTAACTTGGTCACACAGGCCTGGGTGAGGCTGATCTGTAGTGGCTCAGCGGCTGTGTGTGACATTAGCCCGCTCCGACAGGCTGTCTGTGCTCTAGCAGGGGTCTATGAGGTGATATTTTCCTGAACTATGTCTTCTGGGTGCTGGAATTTTGATTGCTATGTCAGTTTTGACCCAAGTATTTCCAATTTCTTCTTAACCATACCAGAACAAGATTTTTTAGTTTGTCATTTTAAAAAGATAATAAAAATGATTTGTAAGGTCAGAACTTAAAACATAGGATACACATGTGTAACTTTAGAAAACAGTAATTTAAACATAAACATCTTCTGGTGTTAACCCCTAACCTTCTTCATTGTCCAACAAGGTAGGGGTGAGGAAACAGCTCTCCCATGACTCTTTTTGTTTGGTCACCCTCCTCCCACATGGATTGTAGTTCTTTTGTGTATCTTCCTGTTTCATTTTCCCACAATGGCCTCTCCAAACTAACCATGTTCGTATATTCAGGTTGATATGGATATGTCAAGCAATTCTCTGCTGTCTGACATTTGGTCATTTGTTCTGTAGAGTCTTCACTAACTGTCTTTCTAAAGCTCAAAAGTATGTCTCTAATAAACTGGTAGGCCCATGAACATATGGAAGCAGGAAATCTCACTCTCTTTCACTCTGTGTTCTGTAAAGATGCCAGTCACAATTATTTGATAAGACCCAGAAATGGCATCATCTCCTGGATGGCAATTTTATACATGTCCCTGAATGATGGACAGATGAAAACACCTTTTAAGTTGCGTTATTTCAAAAAGAGAATCTTCCCCAGAGAAAAATAATAAGTACCCAGATAAAACAAAAGTGTATCGTAGTGAAAAGACTTGCACTCTGGAGGAAACATCAGGCTGTCCAAGTCACAGGAAGCTCTAGAGAGCTTATCTGGAGTCACATGATGGAGGCGGTGTTCAGAGAATTGCAGGGGAGTGGTGGGACTCAGAAATTGCTCACCCCTCTAATATCTTTATGCCTTTCAAAAGAGCTGGTGAACTTGCCTAGCATTTGTTCAGCCAATCTGTGCTGTCCAAAAATCACTGTCTTCTCCACTTAGAGACAAAAGGTGTCTCCCTTTATAGCTTTTTTCTGACAATTTCCTGTCAGGCACTTGCAAAGCTCATCAGACACGCAGACAGGAGCCTTTGACAGAACAAGAGTGACATTTCAAAGAAAGAACGATGATAGGATGCCTTACAGCACACTCCAGAGATAAGCACCTTTGAAAGGTACAGTGCAAATTTCAGAACATCAGCCTGGTATTTCACCATGGAGCGCTATCCACGGAGTCCTTTCATTGTGGCTCAACATGATTAAATTATGTCGAAGTTGCAAATGCCAAATCACAGAAAGGTGAATTTGAAATTCTTATTTTACAGCTCCGAATTAGTGTGGACACTTCCCATCAAGAAGGACGTTTGTTTCATTTGAGTTCTTGGCACAAATATTGTTCTTTTATGAACAAATTGCTGCTGGAAAAATGATATTCCCCCAGGTAGAAGTCAGGTATTGCTTTTACATTCTCAAAAACTAAATGAATATGTATTTTTGATAGCCGCTTTAGAAATGCCTTCCTTGCAGGGTGTTAGAAACTATAGTTACCTCGTATTTGAAATACTAGGCCTTAAGTACCAAGAAATAGCTTGCCCTTTCCATAATACAGAATTGAGAAGGAGAGTAAGATGCTGTTAGTGGCTAGATTGCCCATTTGGGAGGTATGCGGCAGTGTGATTAGACTCCGTGAGGGCAGAACCAACACTTTTGGCTGCTATCTTCATGGTCACGTGACATTCTTACAGATGGGCTCCCATATTATGCTGGCACAGCCATTCTGAAGGGTCTTGGTGGCAAGAACGTTGTTATACCAGCTTCCTGCCTGGAATGAATTCACACACACATACACCAGTGGTTTTACCTTGTTCATTTCCTCCAGAAAACTAGGTTGGGAGTTTTGGTTTCAATCACAGATTCAACATGCAATCTTTGAAAATTTCTCAACTTCCCTGAGACTCAATTCTTGAAGCAGCAAAATGGAGAAAAATGATTTGATTGATATGTCCCATCGTGCAACTCTTCTTCTCCAATGTCTGCCCACCTCAAAGTGAAAACAGAAGGTCTTATCCTTGCCCATAAAGCCAAACAGGGTCAGGGCCCCACCGTGTGGCTCCTGCTGTGCCCTCTGTCACTTCCTCTTTTCCACACACGGGCCTCCTTGCTATGTTTCAGATATCCTCACCGTCTCACGGGGATTTCACTTTCGCTGTTCCCTTTCTCTGGCAGGCTCTTCTCCCAAACATCCTTTCTTTGAGGGTCTATTCACCCTATTTAGAATTGCAGTCACCCTGCCCTTCAGCACTCTCCCTCTGAATTCCTTGCTTTGTTTTCTTCCATAAGATTTATATATCAGACATACTCTATACCCTACATGTTGCTTATTTATCTACAAATAAATACAGACATGTACACACAAAGCTTTTATTATTTACTCATCTGTCTCGGGGCCAAGAATAGTGCTTAACACACAGTAGGTGCTCCATAAATATTTTTAATGATTATATAGTCATCATTTTTATAGATCTCGGAAGTTTCTTACTTTTTACCTACAAAGAAAAGATCACTTTAATCCCCATTTTAGAGATGATAAAAATGAGGTTTAAAGGCACTGAAGATCCTGCAGCTGGTGTACGGTTAGCTAGGACATACCTTCCATCTCTTTTGAATCCAATTCCATATTCCTTTCATGACATTATTCTGCCTCTTTACAGCTTGACAGATCGCTGTGAGAATTCAAGTTACAATGATGCAAAGTCTTTGAAAATGGAAATGTTCCATTTTCATGAAAGGCATTCTAAATATTATTTTTCTCTCTTTGTTTTTTAATGAGAACATAAGACAGGCTGGTTTTAGAACCTAGTTATATTTCCTTCACATTGATTTTTGACAAGCATGGGCTGAAATATCTCCCCCATGTTCACTGACTCATTAGGAGATGCAAATTCAAAATACTATAGCACGAGATGACGGAGAAGATGATGGTGAATAGGAAAAGATGGGGAGCCATGTGGCAATAAAGGCATTGTCTTCCTTGTTTTTCCCCTTTGAGAAATACCAGCTGTTTCCAGGCATGGTGGCTCACACCTGTAATCCTAGCACTTTGGGAGGCTGAGGTGGGCGGATTACTTGAAGTCAGGAAGGAGTTGGAGACCAGGCTGGTCAATATGGTGAAACCCTGTCTCTACTAAAAATACAAAAATTAGCTGGGTGTGGTGGTACGTGCCTGTAATCCCAGCTACTCAGGAGGCTGAGGCAGGAGAATTGCTTGAACCAAGGAGGTAGAGGTTGCAGTGAGGCAAGATGGCACTATTGCACTCTAGCCTGGGCAACAGAGCAAGACTCTGTCTCAAAAAAAAAAAAAGAGAGAAATACCAGCTATTGGTATTGGTATCCTCAGTTGCCACCATCATGTTAGTTGCATCAGCCTCTGGGTTTAGCCTGCGTCTCTTGGCCTAAGTCGCAATGTGAGGAAGCATCTACGGTGCCACTCAGCCTCACCATGGAGGGAATCGGGTCTGCCTACTCTTGGCCTCAGTGCCTCCATGCACTGCTTATGTTGTTTTGCATCCTGCTTCACAGTTCTGTCTCGGGTCAGCACTGGCTGTCACTCTGGGAATATGCCCTGCTACTTCTCAGGTGGGAAACAGAGAAATATTCAGCAACCAATCATCCTGTCAGTGAGCATTCATTAATTACCTATAAGTTAAGAATGAGGACCAGGCACACTGCTAGGCACCCAGAGTGACAAATAAAATAGCACAACTCACCATAAAGGAACCGAATGTAGTTGGAAATATAGCTCCACGCCTGCAGTCACTTACATTCTAACATGAGAAGTGTTTATGAAGGGCAACCTAGTGTGAGTCATCTCCGCTATTCCAACCTCTGCATATGCGCATGCTGATGCTGCCTCTGTTTCTAGCCCATGCCAACCTTGAAAAAAGAACTTGGTGACTCTTGGGTTTTCCCCAAAGAATTTAACTCAAAGATCAGAGTAAGAAATGCAGGCTTTCCTGGGGATTTTATTGAGGAAGTTGATGAGGGGCTTACATTAGATAACCTTCAACAATGCGAAGAACCATCCTAGGCAATACTGTTTTCCAGAATCTCTTTCTGTTTTCACAACACTGGTGGTGGGAGGGCTTTGGTCTGTAGACCCAACTCCCATGCCCGATTGACTACAAGTCTAGTATATAGTAGATTCTTAATCATGTTTACTGAATCAATAAATGATTGATTCAGTAAATGAATAAATGACTAGAATGTGAAAGTAATGTTTTAAGCAAATTGATTTTTCTAAATCTCTTAAACTCTAGAACTCATTGAAAAGACTTTTCTATATGCAAAATCTGAATTCTTAAAAAGCTATAAATAAAGCATTTTTAAATGAATGAAGGGATCTTATATAAAATTGTTTTTTAAAACTAAGAATGTGTTTGTAAAAAAATCAATAAATTATTAACAATTTCAGCAATGTAACGAGCTTTTGTAAATTTGGATTTTCTTATATTGGATTTGTTCAAAGTTAAGTTCATATGCATATGATTCAAGATCTCACATCTCTTTTTCTTAGTCTGGAAGTTCAGGTTTACAAAGCATGACTATATTTTCTTGTAAACACCCAGGAAGTGAAAGCTGCTGATGTCTAACTGAAATTCGGAAGGGAGGGTGGGAAAATCAGCCAAAATGTCACAGGAGTGAGGAATAACTTTCAATGCCCTATCAAAGGAGCTCTTCAAGTTATGTATTGATCCCAACACAAGGAAAATATGCCTAGAAAATTAATTTGACATTTACGATCAATAGCACTCAGATGTCACTGGAGCAGAGGGTGGAAAAAAAGATGGCTTTAAAATTACAGTCATGAATTTATAATTAAATTAATGAATAGAAGTAATTTATTGAATTAATGTTTCCAGAGTCTAAAGAAAATCAGCCTGCCATAGCACATTACTGAAGGAATGAGGAGGAGGCATCTTAGCTTTCCAGATCAGTCTTTATTAACCCATCTATGCTTTGCTTTTTTATTTGGGCCTTTGTGCTTCAATTTCTGAAGTGTGGCCATTTTTCACCTATGAACTAACCGTTACACCTAGTGCAAAGATTGAGCCATTAAGGGACTCAGCTATGACAAGAATGAGCCCTTGTCTGTTGTCTCATCTCTGTCCAAAAGTCCTAGAGAAAATGCACTTTGTGTTTTGGTGGAGAAGTAAAAAACATCGCACATTTTAGATTCTCGAGAATCTGTATTGAATGAATGAATCAGACAGGAGTCATTGGCATCGGTTGCATCTACACAAGAGGACAATCTATATAGTGACAGGACACACTGAAAATAATGAAAAATAGTCTTAAAACAAAAAGACTGTGAATGCAGAGTTAGTGATGTGATAATATATACTTTGGGGCTTCTTTCTCAATTTGATGGATTCTTCTTTGCTTCCTTGCATGGTGTCTTCTCTGCCTACACCGATTTCTTTAAAGACTCTTCTGATCTCAGAGGTTTAAATACCATCCTTTTGCTGATGGGCAGTGCTACATCTGTGGCTGTGAACTCTTCCTCCAAGTTTAAATACCTCCTTCACTCCTGCCTACCTAATGGCTACATTTTGATATTTAATAGGCACCTCACACTTGACATGTTTCAAACCAAGGTTTCTAATTTCCCCTTCTGCAAAGATCCTACTAGCTAGCTAATGGCAACTCCATCCCTAAGACAAAGCCATCTTTGACTCCTTTTTTCAAAATCACAACTCATATGCAATCTGCAGCAGATCCTTGCCATCAAAACACATACAAAATCTAGCTAATTCTTTCTGTTTCCTCCTAGCTCTCTGCCTCAAGTCATCATCTTTCATTGGGTGGTGCAAGGGCTTCCTTAGCATTCTCCCTGCTTCTGTTCTTTCCCATACCCAAGCCTCCCTATAGTCTGTTCTCGAAACAGTGCGGAGAGATGATCCTTTAAAAACACAGGTGAGACCCTGTCCCTCTTCTACACTAACGTCTGTGGTGTCCTCTCACCTTAATCAGATTAAATGGCAAATTTATACAATAGCCTATACGGGCCTATGTGAGCCGGGTCATCTGCAGCCTCACTTATTTCACCTCTTTCTTTTTTTTTTTTTTTTTTTTGAGATGGAGTTTTGTTCTTGTTGCCCAGGTTGGAGTGCAATGGCACAATCTCGGGTCGCTACAACCTCCACCTCCTGGTTTCAAGGAATTCTCCTGCCTCAGTCTCCCCAGTAGCTGGGATTACAGGCATGTGTCACCATGCCCAGCTAATTTTGTATTTTTAGTAGAGATGGGGTTTCTCCATGTTGGTCAGGCTGGTCTCGAACTCCCGACCTCAGGTGATCCACCTGCCTTGGCCTCCCAAAGTGCTGGGATTACAGGTGTGAGCCACTGCCCCCCGCCCTCTTTCAACTTTCCTTCCTTTCATTCTCTTCTGGCCAAAATAGTCTCCTTGCTGTTTTTTGAACATTGCAAGCATATTCTCACCTCAGGATATTTGATCATGCTATTTCCTCTGCCAGGAATTCTCTCCCTACGGATAAATTGGCTTTATTACTCAGTTCCTTCAACTTTCTGCTCATGAATCATGTAATCAGGGAGGCCTCGCCTGACAACCCTACATAAAATGAAAATAACAGAACCCCCTCCCCACTGTGCTTTGCCTCTGAATTTTTTTATCCTTCTTTGCTTTCTGTTTCTCCATAACTCTGGTCACCATCTAACCTACTCTTTATTGGCTCATTTTATTTATAACTGCTATTTCCTCACTGGAATATAAGTTCCATGAGGACAGAAACATTTCTGCTGTTTATGTTTATAGCTGTATTTCCAGTGTGTGAAACAATGCTTTAATATATATGTTTGGACAAATTAAATGAATTACTATTATTGATGTAGGACTGGTGAGCCCCAAGTGTGACTTAGCCTGTGAGGGTTCTTGGCTTCACCCAGGAAAGAATTCAAGGGTGAGCTGGTGGTAGAGTGGAAGAAAACAGCCTTATTGAAGCAGCAGTGTTACAGCTCTGTCACTGCTCCTGCAGAGCGGGCCTGCCCCATCGGCAGTGAACTGAGAGTAGCAGCTCAGGGCAGTTCGCTGTCAGATTTATACTTACTTTTAATTGCATGTAGATTAAGGGGTGGTTTATGAAGAAATGTCTAGAGGTGTTTTACATGTAGATTAAGGGGTGTTTATGCAGAAATGCGGAAGTCACTACTGGGTAATGACCTGGGTCATCAGGTCATTACCATGGAAAGAGTGGTAACTCCTGGGTGTTGCCATGGCAATGGTAAACTGGCATGGCACACTGGTGGGTGTATCTTATGGAAAGCTGCTTCTGCCCCATCCCTGTTTTAGTTACTCTTTGATTTGGTCCCATGTCCAAACCCTGCCTCCAGAGTCTAGTTCCACCTCATACCTCATTATCATCCATTCTAAAGCATTGTAAAGCTGCATTTGCCAATTAGAGGAGGAGTCTCAAATTTTGGATTACTCAGTGCAGTTGTATATGCAATTGTGTAATATTTCATGCTGCACAACAGTTTTGCTTTGGGTTCCACCTTTGAATTTTTATTCACTGATATATTGTCAAGGAGTTAAACATTTTTTTCATAGTTGCTCTAGGACATGATATGTAATGATTATTGAATGAGATAATGTATGTTTCTACATGGATAATTTGGATCCTTAAATGTTCAAGGGTCTTTTTTAGCCATACTGGCTTAAATTTGGTATTTGTTAAACCAACAGTGCTGATCTGCTGATTTTAGATACTCCAGGAAATACATTCTTTTCTTTTCTTTCTTTTCTTTTCTTTTCTTTCTTTTTTCTTTTCTTTTCTTTCTATTTTCTTTTCTTTTCTTTGTTGAGATAGAGTCTCACTCTGTCACCCAGGCTAGTGGGAAGTGGCATAATCATAGCACTACAACCTTGAATTCCTGGGCTTAAGCTATTCTCCTGCCTCAGACTCCCAAGGAGCTGGGACTACAGGTGCATGGCACCACACTTGACTAATTTTTTTTTATAGAGATAGGATCTCACTACGTTGCTCAGGCTAGTCTCATACTCCAGTCTCAAGTGATCCTCCTGCCTCGGTCTCCCAAAGCAATGTGATTGCAGGCATGAGCCACTATATTTAGCCTCTGTCTCCATCTTTAAAACATTTCTTAGGCGGACCTGCTAAAATTGTTGGTAAATTACCAGCAATAATTTGAAGCTGATTATTGGGAGCAAGTCCCCCCCCAAAACTGGCCATAAACAAAATCTCTGCAGCACTGTAACATGTTCATAATGGCCCTAACGCCCAAGCTGGAAGGTGGTGGGTTTACGGGAATGAGGGCAAGGAACACCCGGCCTGCCCCGGGCTGAAAACCACTTAAAGGCATTCTTAAGCCACAAACAATAGCATGAGCGATTTATGTCTTAAGGGCATGTTCCTGCTGCAGTTAACTAGTCCAGGCTATTCCTTTAATTCTGCCCATCCCTTCGTTTCCCATAAGGGATACTTTTAGTTAATTTAATATCTATAGAAACAATGCTAATGACTGGTTTGCTGTTAATAAATATGTGGGTAAATCTCGGTTTGGGGCTGTCAGCTCTGAAGGCTGTGAGACCCCTGATTTCCCACTTCACACCTCTATATTTCTGTGTGTGTGTCTTTAATTCCTCTAGTGCTGCTGGGTTAGGGTCTCTCCGACCGAGCTGATCTCGGCAGCTAATAGTTGGTATCTGCTTCCAGAAAAATAAGAGAAGAAATCTGTGATGTCCTCCAGAGCTCAGCACTACATCCGGAATCATGCCAATAATTTTACTGGCAGGTAGATTCAGATGAGGGGACACTTGACCCTTCTGGTCATAACCCACTTTGGCTCTGGTATCTCCAGGCTACAAAAGGGACTATGGACAATATTATATATCAAGTCTTCTCCAAAGATAAATGAAAACACACACGCACATACGTATTGGGGAGATACCTGTCTATGTGTCCAGAATGAATTTCTGGGTAGGTTCCAAGTACTAAAATCCATGCAGATGAAGTTATTTCAACATAGAATTGTATATTTTAGTTTCAGACCAAAGGGATATTCTCTAGAAAGGATCGTGATAAAATGTGAATCAGATTATTTTGAAGGAATACCGAAATAGAATCATGGAGCCTTGTCCCTTACCCGGGTGACTTGACAATTGAATTTCTCTTCCTATGTTCATTTTAAGAGCCCTCATTTGTCTCTATTCCAGCTACAGTGAACCAGGAGGAGCTTAACATGTTCTGTAATTTCCTATCTGTGATTTTGTTGATGGCCTCTGATGTTCTCTTCACCTAAAATGCTCTGTTTTACAACTCCAAATACCATAGGTGTTTTCATACTAGTAAGTACAACTCAAATACTACCTTTTGCATGAAGCTTTCCCAATTTCCTCTAAAATGAAAATAAAATTAATCTTTTGTGTTCCTGGACTCTCATAATATTTTTCTGTGCTTCTGTGATTCTGTTTTAGGCCTTTCTTGCATTGCTATAAAGAAATAGCAATGAGACTGGGTAATTTATAAAGAAAAAGAGTTTTAATTGGATCGTGGTGCTGCAGGCTATACAGGAGGCAGAGCAGCTTCCTGGGGAGGCCTCAGGAAGTGTCAATCACAGCAGAAGGCAAAGGAGAGCAGGCATGTAACATGTCAAAAGTAGAAGCAAGAGAGGAAGGAGGAGGTACTACACACTTTTAATGACTAGATCTCACAAGTACTCACTCAGAATCATGAGGACAGCACCAAAAAGGTGATTCTAAACCATTCACAAGAAATCCACTCTCATGGTCCAATCACCTCCTACTAGGCCCCACCTCCAGCATTAAGGAATTTATTTCAACATGAGATATTGGTGGGGACAAATGCCCAAGCTATATCAGATTCCTATTACTGTGTGTATATGTGTGTGTGTACATATCCCCAAACACATATATTTTATAATAATTTTGTATCCTTTCTAAATTTGCAAGATTGTGATTATTAGAGATCACTCATTCTTTTAACTTTCCACTCTGTGGATAAATCCATCATTCCTTGATGTCCCCTGTCCCCAAGCAATGACTATCAGTCTTTGCTTAGCTAGTTCCTATTGCAGTGGTACTCACTATCTCCCAGACAGCCTGCTCCTTTGGTGTGAACTTTGCACTCCACTGACAACAACTTGGGTTAGCCAGATACTTCTTCAGTATCAGAGCTGTAGCAAGGCTTTTGATTTGGCTGGTTTGTTAGAAAAATATATTAATACTAGCCTAACAATAAGACAGTGATGGCCCACAAAAGGATTTTTCTCCACTGACAACTGAGGGAGAAAATGTGCTGTAATTACCAGGAGCTCCAGGGAGGATTAGATGGTTGAGAAGGTGTTCCAAGCAATTAAAGAATTTTTGAAAATGATCTTATTTATATATATTTACTTATTTTCAGGATTTAAAACAGCTGACTGCAATAAACAAGTTTTCTGGGGGAGATTCTTGGGAAATGGATATCAGTGTTTAAGTCCCAAATGCTGTTTTTAAGTGGATCCCTTGCTCTGCGGTCCCACTGACCTGGGAAACCCTTTCTCCTGACTTCTAGCCCACTTTCTAATTTGTTGTAATTGCCTGCTGTATGCATATCTTCAATGCCAAACTGTAAATCTGGAGAGGTCAGTAATCAGGGTTGTCCTGTCAGTCACTCTGTTTACTAGGCCAGCAATTGTTTGCAGACTGGATAAATGGCTGTGTGTGTGGTAACAGTGTGAAGTGGGTTAACTGGTATTTTGGGAATTACTGTGTTCTTTTAAAAACGGCTGTTCACCAAGATATATGGTCCCCAAGTAAAACTGGGTCAGAACGTGTCTCCTTTCTGTCCAAGGCAGACACTTAAAATGGTACAGTTTAAAACTTTGTTTTTATAACGTTCATAGGTGTGTTAGGGTGAACAGTTTATCTGATAGGATGTCCAAAACTAAGATCATAGAGAATGGAAGCTGAGAAATAGGATGTAGTGAGCAGGGGGGAAGGGTAGAATTATGTAGACACTTAACTAGACTTTAATTTCCTTCTTTTTTAAAAATGTCAAATTTATTTTAGATTTAGGGGGTACATGTGTGGGTATATCACATGGGTATATTGTGTGATGCTGAGGTTTGGGGTACAAATGATGCTGTCACCAAGGTAATGAGCATAGTACTCAATAGGTAGTTTTTTAGCCATTGCCCCCATCCTTCCCCTTCCCCTCTGGTAGTCCCCAGTGTCCATTGTTTCTGTCTTTATGCCCATGTGTACCCAATGTTTAACTCCCACTTATAAGTGAGAACATGTGGTATTTGTTTTTCTGTCCCTGCATTAATTTGCTTAGGATAATAACCAGCTGGTTCCAAGTTTCTGCCAAGAACATAATTCCATTCTTTTATATGGCTGCATAGTATTCCTTGGTATACATGTACCAAATTTTCTCTAGCCAATCCACTGTTGATGGGCACCTAGATTGATTCCATGTCTTTGCTCTCTTGTGAATAGTGCTGTGATGAACATACAAGTGCATGTGTGTTTTTGGTAGAATGAGTTATTTTATTTTGTGTATATACCCAATAATGAGATTTCTGGGTCAAATGGTAGTTTTGTTTTAAGTTCTTTGAGAAATGTCCAAACTGTTTTCCACAGTGGCTGAACTAATTTGCATCCCCATTAACAGTGTATAAGCATTCCCCTTTCTCTGCAGCCTCATAAACATCTTGTTATTTTTTGACTTTTTAATAGTAGCCTTTCTGACTGGCATGAGATGGTATCTTATTGTAGTTTTGATTTGCATTTCCATGATGATTAGTGATTTTTAGCATTTTTTTGTATGTTTGTTGGCCATTTGTATGTCTTCTTTTGAGAAATGTCATCTATGACAAATCCACAGACAACATCATACTGAACAGGCAAAAACTGGAAACATTTCCTTTAAGAACAGGAACAAGAAAAGGATGTCCACTCTCACCACTCCTATTCAACGTAGTGCTGGAAGTCCTAGCCAGAGCAATCATGCAAGAGAAAGAAATAAAAGGCTTTCAAATAGGAGGAGAAGAAGTCAAACTATCTCTCTTTGCTGACAATATGATTCTATAGCTAGGAAACCCTAAGGACGCCACCAAAAAGTTCCTAGTCTGATAAATAACTTTGGTAAAGTTTCAGGATACAAAATCAATGTAAAAAAATCAGTGGCATTCCTATATACCAACAATATTCAAGGTGAGGGCAAAATCTAGAATACAATTTCACTTACAGTAGCCACAAGAAAATACATTGAAATTTATCTAACTAAAAAGTGAAAGATCTCTACAAGAACTGCAAAACACTGCTGAAAAAAAGTGTATATAATACAAACAAATGGAAAAACCTATGCTCATGAACTGAAAGAATCAATATCATTAAAATAGCCGTATTGCCCAAAGCAATCTACAGATTCAATGCTATCCTATGGAACTACCAATATCAGTTTTCACAGAACTAGAAAAAAGTATTCTAAAATTCATACAAAAGCAAAAACATGCCCGAATAGCCAAAGCAATCCTAAGCAAAAAAGAACAAAGCCAGAGGAATCACATTACCCAACTTCAAACTGTACTAGAAGGCTATGGTAACTAAAACAGCATAGTACTGTTACAAAAACAGACACATAGACCAATGGAAAAGAACAGAGAACTCAGAAATATAGCTACATGCCTACAATCATCTGATCTCAACAAAGTTGACAAAAATAAGCAACAGGGAAAGAACTCCCTATTCAATAAGCGGTGCTGGGATAACTGGTGAGCCATATGTAGAAGAATGAAAGTGGACCCCTACATTTCACCATATACAAAAAATAACTCAAGATAGGTTAAAGACTTAAATGTAAGACCTCAAACCATAAAAATCCTAGAAGAAAACTCAGGAAATTCCATTCTGGACATTGGTCTAGGCAAAGAATTTATAACTAAGTTCTCAAAAGCAGTTATAACAAAAATAAGAAATGACAGGTGGGACCTAATTAAACTAAAGAGCTTCTGCACAGCAAAAGAAACCATCAACAGAGGAAACAGACAACCTACAGAATAGGAGAGAATATTCACAAACTATCCATCTGACAAAGGTCTAATATTCAGAATCTATAAGGAACTTAAATAATTCAACAAGCGAAAAACAACCCAATTAAAAAGCAGGCAAATTACTTTCTTATTAATATTCTCCTAAAAACTATGAGGAAATAAAAAAAACTATAATGCTGATCTAGGTCATGTGTTTGGAAACCTCAATAATGCAACCCAATAATGTAATAAATAATTGACTTATATATTAAATTGTTTGGAATAACAGTAAACGGATAGAGGCTGATGAAGTAAATATCTTGAATTATTGCTTACCATGGTATGAATTGATTAAACAAATACTAATTGAATACTTACTTAGTCATAATAATAAATTCTTTATATCCATTAATTGATTTGATCTTTCCAGATATCCAATTAAATATATATTTTTAATTTTTAACTTATTTTAAAAGTTGACTAATAAAAATTGTACATATTTATGGGGTACACAGTGATGTTTTTATACATTTAATTTATAGTAATTAGATGAGGGTAATTAGCATATCCATCATCTCAAACATTTATCATTTCTTCATGTTGAGAACATTCAATATTCTCCTTCTAGTTATTTGAGAGTATATATTATTATTAGCTATATTCATCCTACAGTGGTATAGAACTTACTCCTCCTTTCCCTTCCTTCTACCTACTCTTTCCAGCCTGTAGTATTCTCTGTCCTACTTTTTACTTCTATAAGGTCAACTTTTTTTTTAGCTTCAACATATGAATGAGGACATGCAATATTTAACATTCTGTTCCTGGCTTCTTTCACTTAACATTAATTAAGACATTAATTAGAATAATGTCTTTCATCCATGTTGCTATGAATGTCAGGATTTCATTCTTTTAATGTATGAATAGTATTCCATGGTGTGTTTCCACCACATTTTCTGTATCTGTTCATCTGTTGTTGGATACCTATTTTGAATCCATATCTTGGCTATTGGGAATAGTGCTGCAATAAACATGGGGGTATAGAGGTCTCTTTCATATACTGATTTCCTTTTCTTTGTATAAATTCCCAGTAATGACTTTGCTGGATCATATGATAGTTCTATTTGTAGTTTTTTGAGGAATCTCCATACTGTTTTCCATAGTGGTTGTACTAGATTACATTCCCACCAACAGTGTATAAGAGTTCCCTTATCTCTGCTTCCTCCCCAGTACCTATTATTTTTTGTCTTTTTGATAATAGCCATCCTAACTGGAGTGAGATGATACCTCATTGTGGTTTTGATTTGCATTTTCCTGATGATTAGTGATGTTGAGCATTTTCTTATATATTTGTTGGCCATTTGTATGCCTTCTGTTGAGAAATGTCTGTTCAGATCATTTTTCCCATTTTTAATTGGATTGGGGTTTTTTGTGCTGTTGCAATGTTTGATTTCCTTGTATATTCTGGATATTAATCCCCTGTTGGATGAGTAGTATGCAGATATTTTCTCCCATTCCATGGGTTGTCTTTTCATTCTGTTGGCATTTTCCTTTGCTGTGAAAAGGAAACTTTTTAGTTTGATATAATCCCATTTGTTTATTATTGCTTCTGTTGCCAGTGCATTTAGTCTTATTCATAAAAGGGTCTAGTTTCATTTTTGTGTGGATATCCAGTTTTCCCACTGCACTTTATGAAGAGTCTACCCTTTCCCCAATGAGTATTCTTGGCATCTTGGTAAAAAAATCAGTTGGCTGTAGATAGGTGGATTAATTTCTGGGTTTTCTGTTCTGTCCTATTGGTTGATGTGTTTGTTTGTGCTTGTTTTTATACTAGTACCATGCTGTTTAGATTACTTCAGCTTTGGACTATATTTTGAAGTCTGGTAGCATGATGCCTCCAGCTTTGTTCTTTTTGTTCAGGATTGCTTTGGCTATTTGAGGTCTTTTGTGGTTTTATACAAATTTTAGGATTTTTTTTCTATTTCTGTGAAGGATGTCTTTCGTATTTTTATATGGACTGCATTGAATCTGTAGATTGCTTTGGGTAGTATTGTCATTTTAACAATATTAATTCTACCAATCCATAAGTATGAGATGTCTTTCCATTTTTTTATGTGTGGGTGTGTGTGTAATCATATTAATATTTTTACATCAACAGCCAGATAGAGGAAATACGTAATATTTTCTTAACAGATGTGAGAAAACTGTCTATGGCACGTTGTAGTTACAATTGATGAATATAATTATGTGAACGTCCACTTGACATATCCTTTGTCATTAATGAAAGGTGTACAGAGCACATATTATATCACATAGCTTACAGACTTTTTGAGAAAGTACATAATTCATGTCTAAATTTTTTTGCTAAAAACAACATTTTTAAGATAGAAGAGAAAGACAGATAATTATGAATCACATTGTGATCAGGAATTACATTTGGTAAATATTAAAAGTAAAAAGGTATGGAAGAAATTAGCCATATCATCTTAGAATCTGTAATGATAAAGATAAGGAAAAACATATAAGCTTGTTTATGCTAGTGTTTACGAAGACACATTTTGAGAACAGGAAACACAAGGGTATAATAAAATACTTATCTTGTATAAATATTGATACAATATTGATAAGTATATAAATATTGATAAATTTACTTAAAATGAACAGAGAATAGATCTTTAAAAAAGATCTAATACAATAAGATATGACTTTCAAATGAAAATGGTATATTCAATTGAAAGAAGGTGACAATGTTGAACTATCTGAGACTACTCTTCCCACTTTTTTGTGTCCCAAGAAAGGGCTTATTGCAAAGAAATACGCTTCCCCATGTGATTTTCGTAAGACTCGCAGATTTCCCCTCTTTTTTTAAACCTATGACTAGGCCAGAAACAGACTCTCTACATTCCCATTCTTTGCCTCAAAAATAATAAGCTATACTGTTTGTACCCACAATCAATCAGAAAAAAATACCTGCTAACTTGATTTGACTAAACTTTTGTCAGCCATCTCTCCTTCCTTAGGGCCTTGAACTGTGAGGCTTCCTCAGCCTGAGCCACCATTGTAGTGGGGAATGCTGAATGTTTAGGGTCTCCTTTATGGACTCTCCCAAGAATCTGCTGAACTTAATTTAAGGAAAGGCATTCCTGCTTAACGGTTCCATTGCTTTACCCTTTTATTCCAGTATCCTATACCAAGTTTTTGTAGGCATACTTATTCCTCCTTATAAAAGAAAATCCCTTTCTGCCCAATCTTATGGACTGAGAATTTTCCCTTTTATAATTTTCTTTACTTATTGTTATAATCTTTTTGAATAAAGCCATTTCTTAATTAAGTCTACATTTGTTTTTTATTTTACTCAGAAAAAAATTTAATGAGAAAAGTTAATGGAAAATGAAAAATTATATGATGAAACATAAATCTACTAAAAATAGGGTAGTTATAAATGGATTAGACATACCAATTAAAAAAATGAAAACTCTTAGATTAAATTAAAAACAAAACCTAAAAACTTGCCTGAAAGACACATACTTAAAACAAGAAGAGAAGGATTAGAAGTGAAGGGATATAAAATATCTCAAAGAAAACAGAACCAAAGGAAAGCTGGCATTGTATTCATAATATGTGAGTAAATAAAATTTAAGGCAGAAGTAGCATAATGTTCAAAGGAGAATATTATATACTTGTATAAGATATAATAAAACAGTGGCATACACATATATGCATCTAGAAATATAACCTCCAAATGTATGAAACATTGACTGGCAGAAATGATGACAAAAAGAGAGAACAGTTATCAGAAATCGTAACACCTGTTTTTAGAAATTAAGACCTTAAACTAGCAGAAGAAGCAAAGATTTTGAATACTAAAAAGCATTAAAAACAATCTACACTCAACAGAGGTGGTATTTTTTTAAACATGTACAAACATTTGGCCAAAAAAAAAAGGTCTGTATTAGGACATAACAGAAGTCTCAATAAATGTTAAAGAATCAATATAAGACAAAATATCGTTTTTATAAAATCCAATATTTTTGAAAACTAAATAATAAAGATTATTAAGTAACCCTTTGGTTAAAAAGGAAATATTAAAGAAAATTAAGAAGTTTTCAGAATTAGTGATCATAAGCATGTTAAAAATCAAATTTTGGGAAAGAGCTAAAGCAGTGCTTAAAAAAGATTGCAGAGCTATAAGTACAATTATCAAGAAAGAAGAAAGGTGGAAGGTAAATTATTTTCACACTCAAGTCAGAAAGTTAGAGAGGAAAAAACATATCAAACTCAAAGAAGCAAGAAACAAGAATATAACCAAGGTAAAAGAAGATATAACACAATTTAGATCATAAACAAATGAGAAAGAAGATTAGCAAATGGGAAACTGACTCTTCCAAAAGATTATTAAGACATACAAACTTCTGTCAAGACTGACCAAGAAGAAAGAGGGAAAATATGCTAACAGGCAAAATAAAGAATGAAAAGGTAGAAGTAGCTACAAATTAAAAACTAAAAAGGAAGAAATAACTATTGAGATTTTAACATGTATTGTGAATTACCATAAGTAATACATTTGAAAGCCAGATGAAACTGGTAAATTTCTTAAAATTATCCATACAATTTTAAAAGGTCACCTAAAACAGTGTAAGTGAATGAATGAGACTGCATTTTCCTTGACTCTGACTTGCAACAGGGATTCTAATTAGTTAGTTGAATAAAATAATAAATGAATGGGGGAAGGATGATACTCAGATATCCTCTGTGATACTGAATGAAAGTACAGAGGTGGTTTCAGAGTACTGTTGTGATGGTGAAAATGCATTGGAGGAGAATTGAAATGGCTGAGATTGAAATGGACAAGAAAAGCAGTTAGAGGAATTCCATGCAGGAGGAGGAACGATGTGGTGAGCAAGCAAGACGAATAGCTCTAAGATTTAAGACCTTTATAAAAACAGACTTTGAGAAAAGTGTTCGTGCAAACAACCACCACCAGCACCACAACAACAAAACAGATTTCCTTTTCATGAACCACTTTAATTTTGGGATAACTAAAGTAAACTTTTCCTTTTACCTTTTCACGCACTGCATCCTAAAGCCAATTTCCATGATATTAAAAGAACAGAATTACTAAGAGCAAGACACTTTTGGGCAACATTAAAATGCCTGAGGGAAATCTGAATAAATAAAGAAAGCGAGATAATGAAGGTAATCTTTTTCCTCCCATTGTGGAATGGCAATTGACTCTATATGCAAAAAGTGAGCTTGGAAAGAGAAAGACACTGTGGTGGCAATATCTTTCAGGAAATTGGCTAACAGGTTTATCATCATAAATTTCAGATAAAATTAAACGGAAAACAGTCTAGTGGCATGGTATGTTGTTAATAAGGACATTCTCAATGGGCACTATTTCAAGGCATTCAACTCTGGTTGGGAAATGTGACAGATCCAGGAGGCATGAGTTCCTGTGTCTGTGCCAGCTCCCAGGGTGCACAGCTGGCCTCCATCCTGAGAATATGCACATATGACAAAGACCATGATTTTGTAAGGAAAATATAGATCCTCCTCTTCTATATTTTAGGTTTGGGTTTTAAAGGCTTTGCTTTTTGAAGTCTGTTGACTTTTTTATTCAACTCACTAGGGAAACCCAGATCTAACTTGGTCTGTGGTTGGGTTAACACCTATATTTAGGGTCTCAAGACTAATGTTGGGGAGGAGAAACACCTTTTCCTCACCCATCTAAGTTCATGACTTAAGCCCTGAAACAAAAGACAGACTAACAAAAAAAAAAAAAAAAAAACACATGTCAACTTATTTAATATAAGTTTTATGTGACATGAGACCCTCATAAGGAAATGAAGGCCCTAAGAAACAGTTAAACTTGTGTTGTATTTATATGCTAAGTTTGACGACAAGTGGACAGTTGTAAAGAAATTGGACAAAAGAGATGTGATCTAAGGATAATGAACTGGGGGATACTTAGCAAGGCCATTTGTTCAGTTTCTTCTCTCTGACCCTGTGTCTTCAGAGGCAAGGATGTTCCTTGCCTTTACTTACAGGGAGGGCACCTCTCTAATGAGGGTCTCATCCCCACTTCAGGGAAGGTCAGAAAATCCATCCTAGGTTTTATGATTTGCTTCAGGAGAGGGTGAGAATAACCCTCCTGCTTCTGTTGTTTTCTCAAAATCCTTCAGCTTAAAATAATCAATATTCCAAAGTGCCATTATTTTGGGATAGGGTGTCCTAAACCCCACGGCTAACTTTGTCTCCACAGCTCTCTCTTTTCTCTGCCCTGACCAAAGTGCTCTTCAGGGGATATTTTCTCAATTCCCAAGCTTCACAGAAGTCTTAAAATTTAATTGTGTTCTCTTTAGCATCTGTCCTTTTCCCCTGACTTCTCCTCTGATATTAGATTAAAAAATCTTTTTGTATTTCCTTAATGTTTATGGCTTTAGAGCAGAGATGTGTGAGGTTAAAGGGTGCAGGTTAGAAACAAAAATGTCTAAGATATCAAAGATGGTCTAATCCTTAATTCACTAAAGATAAATGGCTGTCTTATGCTCTGCATCTGGTGTCTCAGCCATGACTGACCTTGCTTTTCTAGAAAAATCTGCACAAGTCTGGGTAACTTGCTTTACTAAATCCTACTTCCTTTTGATCTGTAAAATCCTGAATGCTTTATGCTCCACTTGAACTCTACTCAGGCAAATTTTTAATTCACTTTGCTTTAGTTTTCCCACCTGGGCCAATTGTTAGTACTTTCTGCTCTCTGAAGGAAGGTACTTTTCTATCCTATCATAGATTTATCTTTTGGCTTCAGAGCCTTTACTGTTGCTGATATTAGGTCAAATATTCTTTCTAAAATCTGTAGGTAAGTTAAATATTTGAAACAAGTATAGATAAATGGTTAATATATTAATGTATAAAAATGTTATGCAAATAGATGAGAACAAGACCAAAAAGAGAAAAGAGAAAATATAAATGCATAAAATATAAAAGATAATGGAAATGTGAAATATTAATGACTCTAGTAACCACAGAAATGTAAATAAAAATATTGAGATTAGCCTTTTTCTCATAAATGAACAACAAATAAATAAATTTTATTAATGTTAGGTACTTTGAAATTGTTCTTCTTATAAATTCTATGAATATAAATTACACAAAACTTCTTAGGAAGCTAGTTAGTAGTAAGACTTGATAACATTAAAAATATTTATCCCTTTTAAGTAGTTTCTCCCCTACTAAGAGTTCACTCTAAGAAAGTAATCAGAAATGTTGCAAAAGACTAATTCATAAGCATATTCATTTATAAAAAAAATTAAAGAATAGTTAAATTAGTTATGATCCCACCAGAAAAAGTAAAATATTATTCCACATTTGAATATTATATTTATAAAGAATCTTAATGATATGAGAAAGTATTTAAAATATTAAGTGAAAAAGCAGGGTAATATAAGATATACAGTAAAATCTCAAATATGCCTGTTTTATATCTCTGTGGCTCCTATCCATCTTGTATTTCTTTTATGCAGCTCATCTATTCTCATTGTCTCTGCTTAAATATGGAGAGTTGATTTCTTCCTCTGTCAACATTCTCTTGTTTTACTTAGTTTAATACCTCCTCCTACTTTCTCAAGTATGAACAGAAGGTCTCAATAGTATGGATTTTTAATAGTAGGCCTTCAAATTTTAGCCACTCATCATTTAGTCACTTATAAAATGTTTGCAGATCAAAAGTGATGTGTCAAATATAATTTAAGTCCTAGCAAGTCAGCAGTGAAGAAGATAGAGTTACTGCTATAAGGGGCTTATACACAGGTATCTGTAATATGTGTCTGATGGGAGAAGGGTGGAGACAATACAAATAAATAATAAAAATGTTGAGAACCAAGAAGTGATAAGAAAGAATATGATAATAATAATGAGATAGCTAGAGTGTGGGGTTGGCTGGAAGAGGCCTCTTTGAGTAAGTGATACTAGGTTTAACATCTGAGTAATGTGCAAAGGAAAGAACAAATGCCAAGGATTTGGAATGATACAGTAGAAGAATGGAAAGAAGGTTAATATCTCTATTGAAAGGGATATTAGAGAGAGATGGGACTGGAGAGCTGGACAAGTGTAAGTTTATGGACCATAATAAACAGTTGTTTTTTTAAAAAAATATTTGGAGGCTGTTGGAGAACTAATAGCAGAGGAGAGACATGATCTGAGTTATTCTTAAGAATATCCTGAGGGCACTGTGGCAAATGCACTTTGGATGAAAAGAGTGGAGACAGGAAGAGCTGATGGGAGACTGTAGCAGTAGTTCATGCTGGAGAAAACAAGGGTTTGGATAGACCCATGACATTGGAGAGAGTGAAATGCAGTCAATTCAGAGTATATTTTGAAGTCTATCTTATGGGACTTGGGAATTACTGATGACTTAGATGTAGAAGGTGAAGAGATGAAAGAAAGCCAGATTTCTGGCAGGAACAACTAGATTGTTAGTACATTGTGGGTAGATACAGAGGGCATAGATTTGAGGATTTGGTAGCATCTACTAAAGATAGAGAAACCAATACAGGAGAGAAGCCAGTGATGAAATGAAGTTCTTCATAAGACATCCTGGGGATAGAAAGCAGGGCTCAAGTGTAATGAGGTGTCTAGAATATTAGTAAGTGTACATCTTTCATTGAGATGGGCAGGAAGAAAGAGCACTGTGCATAGAAAGAGCTTCTGGTGGAAATAATGAATAAATGAGATAACTTATCTAATGTCTCTACTAAGTCCATGTTGAGGTTATCAGATGCATATAGGGTATAAAAAGTGGGAAGTTGGATGATTTGAGGAGAAACATGTATAAAATAATCACCTAAGATTGTGGAAAATAAATTTAATCAGTAAAGTGAAACAAAGTCTTATGATATTGAGTACCTGTTTTAGAATTGTAATCTGAAATTTGAAGTGAGTACAGTCACCATGGTTCTGTGACTTTTCTCCCCAGTGGCAAAATTCAGTGGACCATTTACAAGTGTTGAATAAGTAGACATTTGAGTTTAAATAAAATTGAAGTTGTGTGAGATAAGTAGAGTGGAGAGAAACAGATTGGGGGTGGATTAAAGAGGGAAGATGTTTCTTATGAATTCTAGACAGGATAAGGAGGACAGGGAGGAAGGTAAGGAGGAAAATGAAGAGTGGAAATGTGGAAGTGTCAATAGATGTAAGACCTCACTGGTGGAGTGAGTAAGTGGGGTAGAAAACTAGGGCATGATTGACCTTTAAACTAAGAGTTTGGTGAAATGTAGTAATTGATGATTACTCCAGAAGTGGGTATCAGGTAGGATAAAATGTAACACTAATGAGTTCAAGAACTGAGAGGCCATCTACATAAGGTTTAGTTTCTGAAAATTAATACTAAAAGTGTGGCAGGGAGAAAGTGAACAAGATGTTGAAATTATAAATTCAGGATGGGGCGTGATTAGAAGATATGCAGTGAAAACAACCTATTAAGAAATGGTAAAATCTGATGACATTTACAATAATGGGGCCCTGAGTTTTGAAGGAGAAAGTAGGAAAGGCAATTTGGAAACATCTGTGGAAAGCAAGAGGAATTCCTACCTCAATCTTAGGCCTGTAGATCTTAGATCTTAGAGGTGTATAGATTATGGGAAAAAGACAATCTATACCTGAGATGTTGCAGGCAAAATGGTTTTGGGTTTAGTTTCAGTTAGTGTCCAGAAGATGCATTTTGAGAATGTTTTTGGAGTTGTGGGGCTTGATGGCAGATTCTGAATTCCAGAGTGTGCAATGGAAGAGCTTGGGAAGGCAATGAAAGATGAAAGATTAGGAGTAGTACAGAGAATCACTTCAGTGTAAAAATGAGAAATCATATGATGAGGCTTGGAATCCATAGGTGCCTAAGGAGCCCAGGGATGTGAGGCTGATGCCATTGGCCCTAGATGCTAGAGCACTCCACAACTGAATGTCAGCTTGCTCTATTTGCAAACACAATACTTTAAATACATCCAAGTATAATATGAATAATGTTTAGTAGGAAGTGATTTTCCTGCAATAGTATTGCACTTCCACTGGCATGGTGGGAGGGAATTAAAGGGACCTGGCCAGGGTGTCAGGAATGCTGAGGCAAGTCATCATGAAAGAAGCAAGTGACAGTCAGGGTGGGTGATTCCACATGGTTCTGAAGCATTGAGGTTGAGGTGGTTAAAAGACCAAAGAAACAGGAACCGGAAAACCAAAGTGAGGACTTTAGTAATAATAATGTATCGTATTTACAGGTATATTGTATCTTATTGTGCTTCTCTTTACTGTGTTTTCACAGATATTGTGTTTCTTACTAATTGAAGGTTTGTGGCAACCCTGCACAGTGCAAGTCTATAGATGCCATTTTTTCAACAGCATGTACTCACTTCATGTCTCTGTATCACATTTCAGTAATTCTCAAAATATTTCAAATTTGTTTATTATTATTATATCTGTTATGGTGAACTGTGATCATCGATCTTTGATGTTACTATTGTAATTTTTTTGAGGCATCATGAACAGTGCCCATATAAGACAGCTAACTTAATCAATAAATGTTATGGGTGTTCTGATTGTTCCATTGATCAGCCATTCCACAGGCTTCTTCATTTCCTGATACACAACAATGTTGAAATTAGGTCAATTCATAACTCTATAATGGCCTCTAAATGTTCTAGTAAAAGGAGGAGTCACACATCTCTCACTTTAAATTAAAAGCTAGACATGGTGAAGCTTAGTGAGGAAGGCATGTTAAAAGCTGAGATATGTTGAAATCTAGGTGTCTTGTAACAAATAGCCAAATTGCGAATGCAAAGGAAAACTTCTTGAAGGAAATTAAAAATGCTACCCCAGTGAACCCATACATGATAAGAAAGCAAAACAACTTTATTGCTGATATGGAGAAAATTTTAGTGGTTTGGATAGAAGATCAAATCAGTCACAATATTCTCGGCTGGGCCTGGTGGCTCATGCCTGTAATCCCAGCACTTTGGGAGGCCGAGGCGGGTGGATCACAAGGTCAGGAGATCGAGACCATCCTGGCTAACACAGTGAAACCCCATCTCTACTAACAATACAAAAAAAATTAGCCGGGTGTGGTGGCGGGTACCTGTAGTCCCAGCTACTCAGGAGGCTGAGGCAGGAGAATGGTGTGAACCCGGGAAGCGGAGCTTGCAGTGAGCTGAGATCGTGCTACTGCACTCCAGCCTGGGCAAGAGCAAGACTCTGTCTCAAAAAAAAAAAAAAAAAAAAAAAAAAAAAAAATATATATATATATATATATATATGTTCTCTTTAGCCAAAGCCAAAGCCAGAGGAAAGCCCTAACTCTTTTCAATTCTATGAAGGCTGAGAGAGGTGAGGAATCTGCAGAAGAAAAGTTGGAAGCTAACAAAGATTGATTCATGAAGTTTAAGGAGAGAAGTCATCTCTGTAACATAAATGTGAAAGGTGAAGCAGCAAGTGCTGATGTAGAAGCTTTAGCAAGTTATCCAGAAGATCTAGTTAAGCTCATTGATGAAGGTGGCTACACTAAACAACAGATTTTTAATATAGATAAAACAACCTTTTATTGAAGAAAGATGCCATCTAGGACTTTCATAGCTAGAGAGAAAAAAATCAATGCCTACTTTCAAAGCTTCTAAAGACAGGCTGAATATTTTATTAGGAATGAATGGAGCTGGTGACTTTAACATGAAACCAATGCTTATTTGCCATTTCAAAAATATAGGGCCCTTATGAACTATGCCAAATCTACTCTGTCTGTGCTGTAAAAATGGAACAATAAAGCCTGAATGACAGCACATCTGTTTACAGCATGGTTTACTGAATATTTTAAGTCTACTGTTGAGACCTACTGCTTGGAAAAAAGATTTCTTTTCAAAACATTACCCCACTCATTGACAACATATCTGGTCACCTAAGAGCTCTGATGGAGATGTACAATGAGGCAAATGTTGTTTTCATGCCTGCTAACACAATATCCATTCTGCAGTGCATGGATCAAATAGTAATTTCTACTTTCAAGTCTTCTTATTTAAAAATGTGTGTCATAAGGCTATAGCTGCCATAGATAGTGATACCTTTGATGGGTAATTATGTATCAAATAGCATAATAAGTTGAAAACCTTCTGGAAAGGATTCACCATTCTAGATGCAATTAAGAACATTCATGGTTTATGGGAGGAGGTAAAAATGTCAACATTAACAGGAATTTGAAAGAAGTTGATTGCAATCCTCACAGAAGACTTTGAGGGGTTCAAGATTTCAGTGGCAGAAGTAACTGCAGGTGTGGTAGAAATAGCAAGAAAACTAGAATTAGTAGAGCCCACATCCATTTAGGGAGATGTGACTGAATTGCTGCAATCTCATGATAAAACTTGAACAGAGGAAGAGTTGCTTTTTATGAATAAGCAAAGAAAGTAGTTTCTGGAGATAAAATCTACTCATAGTGAAGCTCCTATGAACATTGTTGAAATGACAACAAAATATTTAGAATATTACATAAACTTAGTTAATAAAGCTTTAGTGGGATTTGAGAGAATTGACTCTCATTTGGAAAGGAATTCTACTGTGGGTAAAAATGCTATCAAATAACATTTCATGCTACAGAAAAATCTTCTGTGAGAGAAAGAGTCAATTACTGTGTCAAACTTTACTGTTGTCTTTTTCTTAAGAAATTGCCACAGCCATCCCAACCTTCAGCAACCATCACCCTGATCAGTCAACAACCATCAACATTGAGGCAAGACCCTCCATCAGCAAAATGATTACAGATTACTAAAGACTCAAATGATAGTTAGCATTCTTTAACAATGAAGTGTTTTCTAAATAAGGCATATACATTTTTTTCAGACAATAATCACCCTGATAAGTCAACAGCCATCAACATTGAGGCAAGACCCTCCATCAGCAAAATGATTACAGATTACTAAAGACTCAAATGATAGTTAGCATTCTTTAGCAATGAAGTGTTTTCTAAATAAGGCATATACATTTTTTTCAAACATAATACTATTGCACGTATAATAGACTATACCTACTGTAAACATAACTTTTTATATGTACAGGGAAACCAAACAAATGTTTGTGACTCATTTTATTGCAATATATGCTTTATTGCAGTGTTCTGAAACTGAACAATTTCTCAGAGGTATGTTACTATGAATAAGCTTTTTCTATGTATTTTATGTGCATTAACCCATGTGGTCCTCAAACAAGTCTCTAATGGAGATATTTACATTTAACCATAGTCTATAGATTTGAAAACTGAGGTACAAAATGGTGAAAACTGGTAGAAGACATCCAGCTAAGAAGTAGCAGTGTTAGGAAGGAAACACAAAGCCTGGTTTCAGGGCCCATGCCTTCACCACCCCTCTGGGCTCCAGGTCAAGGAGTACCCAAGTACATGTTACCCAAGCCAACAACTATGGAATCATTCCAAAGTCCAAGTTCTTCCTCATTGAGTTAATCACCAAGAGCAATTTGTTCTGACCTGTAAATATCTCTTATTCTGTTTACTTTTTTCCCATCCACATTACTACCATTCTACCCCAATCCTTCATCACCAGGATTACAGCAATTACTGCTTCAAACGTTTCCTTGTACCTTACCTTGGCCCCTCCAAGCAAAGGTCTTTAGTGGAGTTAGATCTTTCAAAAGCTCAATCTTATCACACCACTTTCCTGCTTAAAACTTTACTATTGCTTTTCATTGCTCTTGGGGTAAAGTCAACTGTATAATAAACTATTAGAAGTTCTCCATGATTTCACGCCAGCTTACCCCTCCAGCTTTACTTCTCTCCTCTCTATTCTGTATAATATATACTTTACTTTTATTAGACTTGTTTCAGTTCTTTATCAGGTGTGTAAAGGTGTTCTCTCAAATCTTGGCTTCTTTTTGTTTTTTTCTGAGATGGAGTCTTTCTCTGTCACCCAGGCTGGAGTGCAGTGGTGCAATCTTGGCTCACTGCAACCTCTGCCTCCTGGGTTCAAGCAATTCTCCTGCCTCAGCCTCCCAAGTAGCTGGGATTACAGGCACACGTCACCAGCCCGTCTAATTTTTGTATTCTTAGTAGAGACGGGGTTTCACCGTGTTGGCCAGGCCAGTCTTAAACTCTTGACCTCGTGATCTGCTCGCCTTGGTCTCCCAAAGTGCTGAGATTACAGGCATGAGCCACCATGCCTGGCCCACATCTTGGCTATTGTATGTTTCTCTGCCTACATGTTACCCTGCTCTTCTCTTCGTCTTCTATATGTTAAGATGTTTTCAGTGCAAGTCACTGAAAATTCAACTTATAATGGCTGCAATGAAGAGATACCTAAAGTATCCCATAAGTATCCCATAAATGCTCTAAGAGCTCTAAGTTAGGTATTTCCAGGATTCTGTCATCCAAAAGACCACCAGGACAGCTATACTAGAAAAGAGTTTTATTAGTTTGCAAACCAGGAAAAGACAGTCTCTAGGCATGTGCTTAAAGTGCTCTCTCTTTGAAGAGAGGAAGGACAAGTAGGGTTTTATGCCTCACAGGGCCAGTATCATACATATTCAGCAGGTTTGGGGGGAAAGCTATACATATTTATTAGGGGAGTCAAGTGCATACAGATTGGGTAAACATATATGTAACATACATCCCATGTTTACCTTGGGTCAGAGTTTTAGCATTAAAATGAGGTGGAATATGGCTCTTTATGTCAAAAGGTGAACTATAGGACACAAAGACAGTTTGTGCACAGCCTCTATAAGCTGGCTGAAACTGGCTTAAGGTCTGCAGTTGCTTATCAGAAAAAAAGAATGTTTGTAAGGCTGGTCCTGTGTCCAACCAGAGTTTTAGTGGTCTGGGTTGTAAATCAGACCTGATGGCTCCCATTGTTCAGGAGTTTAGTCACAGACATTCAGAAATTTGCTATGCAAGCAGGTCCCTGAGCTCTTGACCTATAGGTAACTTTGTTTCCTTAACCTTTGGGTCTGTCTCAGTTGATAGATGGGTGTCTATTTTGGTCTCTTACATCACAGTTCTAAGAACCAGCCTCTTTCCATTCTGCCATTTTTAGAGTGTTGGCTTTTACCATTATGCTTATCACTGCAGGGGCCCAGATGGAGTATGTAGCTTGTGAAGAAGCCACTCAAATCTTCTTTAATGAAAGGACCTGTTGGTTCTAGTTTTGGAAATAGCCTTAGCAGACACCCTTTAGCTGTCAGCTTCTTTAGGGATTGTCTCAGTTGCAAAGAGCGACATTACAAAAATTCAAGACCTTTCTGGGGTGGCCTGTATGCAATGACTGATTGATATGGGTTCATAAACACCTGGCTGTCTAGTCCCAGTGGGGGACAATTCTGAAGGGCCTTTCTTGTACCAGAGTTCCTGGTTGGCTAAGGCATTATATTCAACCTCTTACTCTCTCTGATCCAGCATCTGCTCTTTTTCTTTCACAGGTTTTATCCCAAGGGTATTCCCAAACATCCTGCATGCTAAGCTCTGTCTGAGAGTCTACTTCTGAATGTCAGTCGTTGGTACCTGGATGGTCAGGACAGCAACCATTAAGAGGGTGTTTTTGAGCTGGATCACTTGCTGCCAGGCTAGTGATGAGGATCCCCTTAATGGAAGTAGACAGTCCCTGGCACAACTGGTGATCAGATGCTAGAACTCTTACCAGTGGTGAAGTGGGCTGGTATATCACCAGAAGAGAATGCACTGGCTTGTATAACTTATAAGCATTGGAAAAATATAAAGTAATAACTATAAGAACAATAGAACCAGGCAAAGTGGCGTGTGCCTCTAGTCCCAGGTACTCTGGAGGCTGAGGTGGGAGGATCCCTTGAGGCCAGGATTTCAGGAACAGCCTAGGCAACATAGTGAGACCCTGTCTCTACAAAAATAAAAAAGAAAATTAGCCAGTCATGGTTGTATGTGCCTGTAGTCCCAGCTACTCAGGAAGCTGAGGTGAGAAGATCAATTCAGCCCAGGAGTTCACAGCTGCAGCGAGCTATGATCACACCCCTGCACTCCAGCCTGGGCAATAGAGTGAGACCCTGTCTCAAAAGCAAACAAACAAAACTATACTAAACTACTTGAGCTTTGGAAAAAGGTAATAAAAAATATAAGGGAAATTAATAGTCGATTGAAAGATAAGGGTGAAGTCCAGATGTCCCTGTTGAAGGCATATAAAGAGAATCTCAGCTTTTCCAAAAGCAGGGTAGAGACCATTATGAAACAGACCTAGGACTTAATTTTCAGACTAGTGGGATTCTGAAAGCCAGTCTCTTTAAGATTTCTCAAATGCATAGGACTCAAACTCTGCACTTTGTGTCTCCTGTGTGAGACGGCAGTTGAACTTTCTTGCTCAGCCTTTACAGCTGACATTCTGTTGCATTCCTCTAAGCATCTTGTAATCTTCGCTGAGCACGTGCAGTTCAGGGTTTAGCTTAGTTTTTGAGGGGATCTTATGAGCAGAGTGGGAGCACCCCTCTGTAGCTCATGCTCTTTAAAGGATTTTCCCTCTTCATTTCAATTTCTAGCCACTTGTGTCCAATAAGACTGAGGTTTTCTTCTTGATTTCTAACTGTCCAGCACCATGTGCTCTTGGAGGAAAAGCTATACCATAATGGGCCTCACTCAATGTGATTTTATTCTTTCAATAGTGAACCTTCCAAGTTTCTTTCTGCCTTTGGCTTCTTTTCGGTGACTTTGAGTAGCCGCTTTTTAAATATTTTGTCCAGAGCTTGTACAGAAAGGATTAATTTCATTCCAGCTCCTCCAGTATTATTCAAATGAGAGCTGTCAATATTACAGTTTTCTGAATAAGAAAGAAGTAAACCATCCACCCATTACCACATAACACAACTTTGCCTGGCTAAGTCCTCCTCGATATTTAGGTTTGAGATTAAACATCCTTGTCCATATGTGATCTGTCTTCCTGAGTTTTAGAGGAGGTTAGGTCTACTCACTTATGATGTATCTTCCTATATTTCCCTGTATACCTACCATGACAACACTCATCATGATTTTTTTGAAGTGATGTTTTTAATGTCTGTTTATCTGAATAGACTAAAAATTCTCTGAGGACAGCAATCATGTGTCTCATGTTTTTTGTTGTATCCAAGGGCCTCCCACATGGTAGACAAATGATAAACATAAATGAATGAAAAAGTGAATAAATCCAGATTGGTAGGGAAAATCACATAGTTTAAGATTAAAAAATAGAGCAGAAAGAGAGAAAAGGCTCTGTAAGCCTTGAACACTGACGTTGCCTCCACCAACTGGACATAGCTCATTGGACAGCTCTTGAGTCTCTACTCGATCTCTTGACCTTTGAGATCCTCACAGGATCCCATGAAGACACCCCATGTGGGTTGAGGCCAGGGTTAAAAAAATTCAGGAGCAGATGCCACTGAGAATGGTGCTTGTGTTTTTTTCCAAGAAATTTGGAACTTCTGTCTTGTATGAGAGAAACCAAGCCTGGGCAACATATTGAGACCTCATCTCTACAAAAATAAAAATAAAAAAATAGCCAGGCATGGTGGTGCATGCCTGTAGTCCCAGCTACTTGGAAGGGTGAGGTAGGTGGATCACTTGAGCCTAGGCGTTTGAGGCTGCAGCAGTGAGCAGTGATTGAGCCACTGCACTCCAGCTTGGGTGACAGAGTGAGAACATGTCTCAAAAAAAGAGAGAGAGAGGGAGAGAAAGGCTAGACATCACCAGAGAAAAGAAAGTCCAAAGTCTTAAATACCAAGCCAAGTTTCTTTGTTAATTGTTCTCCTGTCCTGGCTGATAAGCCAACCCAGTCAGCTGGCAATCACCTAAATACTCTCTAAACAGATATTAAACTCCTCATGCTTTGAGTAATTCTGACCCATGCCTTTTGTGTTTTAGTTTTTGTTCATGGAGTAGGGGTTGGCAAATATATATATATATATATATATATATATATATATATATTTGTATTATATCTTGAAACATTGAAAAATGAGCCTTGGGAAATAAAAACACTTCAGTCAGCGCCTATAATCTATTAAGGCAATTAATCAAACACACACTTTGTCAACTTCCTCTTTTTCTGTTATGTTTTATGACTCTATTATTATTTCACCAACACAGTAAAAGGAATTAATCTTTATTGCATGGAAAAGTTTGGGAGATAAAGGAAAGAAACTTAGCTGCCAGCCTCCATATTGTGGTTCAAATCAATCATCTGGCAGATTGGATTATTTTTAACGGTAATGCATTCATTAGGCCTTATTGGAAACATTTTAATGAATGATAGGATTTCCTCTCTACCAGAATACAGATCTGTCACTCGGAATGAACTTGCTTAACAACTCAGATGCCCTTTCATTAGCTCTTTTCTGTAATAGGATATGAAAATCTTCAGAAATCGATAGTTGAATAACAGTTACATATTTACAGGAATGCTCCTAAGTGCCTTGAGAAAGGCATATAGGTAAACTCAGAAGAATTTTTCAAATCTAGAAATAATTAATACTAGAGGGGATTCAAGGTTTCTCAAGAGAAGAGGACACTTATACACGAAGGGGTTCATTTGTTTCTAGGTCTAGCTCCTCAGGCAACTGGATTATTTCTCTACGTCTAGTGCAATATAATCATAGACACCCATAAAAATAAGCACGTCTTAGTATATTAACATGTACTTACTGAACATCTATTATGATGTGAACAATAAATTAGGCTCCGTGGATCTAGAAGTAATTAAAACATGTAGTCTCTATGGACAATGAACTTTAATCTAGTTGGGAAGATTCTTATGTGAGTACAATGTAAGTTGATTGTTTACATCAGTATATGAAAAATTCTAACAGATTGATGTGGACATATGTGTCAGTCAAGTGCAGAAAGAAATGAATTGGAATATACTGTGGGCCTGAGGGATCTTGAAGACCCAGGAGGTGGGTTCGATGAGTCTTGTGGGCCTAGAAGTTGAGGAAAACCACTGCAGTCATACTGAGGATCTTGCAGAAAAGTTTTTAAGTGGTTTTACACATTTTCTCCTCTCTAGTATGATGAAGTTTCAGCTCTGAAAATTTCACTAGGATAAACCTATGTGAAAATCTTAGTTTCAAGATATGTGTTACTTCCCTTAAATTCCCTTAAAAAGAAAGTCATTCAAAATGACTCTATTTTGTCCTAGAAAATGCTCTGAACCATCCATCAGGTCCCTGGATAACCTTGGAGTAATTATTTTACCTCTCCGAGCCTCAGTTTTCTCCTATGATTAAGAGAGCACCAAACTAGAGAGTCATCATGATCTCTTATTATTCACAAGTAGTTTCATGAAGACTACTTTTCACTGGGTAGAAAACAGGTATCAGAAAACCCAGCTGACCTATTCTTTCTGTTAGGTGGATCCATCTCTGCATTTCAGTCAGTGCCTTGCCCTGTTTTCCTTGGCACGGGCAATTCACCCATGCTGTCGAGAGAGGGTATGGAGGTGAAGTGAAGTGTTCTGTTCTAGTTAGTTATTCAGTCCTAAATTATTAATGCCATTCCTGTTCTCCTATCACCTTGAAGTTGTTGGATGCCGATGGGTATTAATAAAGGATAAGTTTCATGAGGTCAATGGGAAAGACTCCAAAACATTTTCTATGGTCAGCCAAGCAGAAGGCTAGGAGAAACAAGGTTAGGAGAAAAGAAAGAGTGACAGGAAATAAATGTTTAATCTAATCCTTGATTCTCAAGTATATAAAAATGGAGAAATATTATAATTGAAATTCTCCATACAGAATTAAGTCTCCAGTATATTCATATGTTTGAGGACCAGTCAATAAAAACAAGGTTTACATTAGGCTGAAAAGTTCACTTTAAAACAGAAATGTTTGGGCTTGTTTTATTTCCCTTAAAATTAACCTTTGCAGAAAAGAGCAATTTGAAAGGAGCAGAAAACATGCAAATCATCTCTAATCAAGAGGTTTTGCTTTAAACTACCTCTAGAAAGTCCAAGGCCTGGCTCTGTGACCCAAAACGTGAAAAGGAGTGATGACCCAATGTAGCAAGAATCTCAAAATTTGAAGCATGCAGTGGCTTCCCCAAGTGTGCAGTCTGTTTTAGGGCTCTATATACCACAGTTGAGTCAAGCTGTTTGATATGTGCTCTAGGCACTGAACTGAGACCAGGAGATAATTTCACAAAACACATGTGGTTGGGGCAACAGAGACTGGCACTGTGTCTACAAGGTACCAAAACAATTTTTTAAAGGCTCTCTTTAGAAAGCAAGTTATTTATTTATATGTATATTTTCATAAAACTGATGACAAAATATGTCAAATTTCACAGAAGTGGATGCTTCTTTGTGGTGTCTGCACAGAATAAAGTCTACAGATACCTCTGAAATTCTGGAAATGGAATGCTCTCTCATGGAATACTCTCTCATTCCAAAAGTCATGAGTGACATCTCTAGAGCAGTAAAGGAAAAAAATCTAATATTAACCAAACAATAACTATGTGTCAGACACTGTATTAAGTGTGTTACATATGTTATTATAGTAAATGCAATCTGTCAATATCGTTACAATTGCTTTCTCCATTTGGGCATGAGAAATCTAGGATTCAAGGTTACACACTCAATGCCAGAGCGGAAGTCATCTCTGCCTACTACAGAATCTGGCTTTGTAAACACCATCATGTATTACTACTCTGGTAATAATAGTTAGTAGTGAAATTTCACATATATTCTGGTAATTCTCACAAATGTTTGAGATATATAATATTCTCTCAAATTTACAGATATTATAACTGAGCCTTAGAAAGTCTAGGAGACAAAGTCACATGCCAGTGGAAGTAAGACAGCCCAGGGGCTCCTGTCCGGCCCGTAAGTTGTCATAGTTCAGAAGACACTTCATAAGTGCACATCCTCTAGCAAGAAAATGAGACATAGGGTATTGGCAAGTATATGTTTTGACAGTGTGATATTAGAGTGTAACTAGGTATACAGAGCAATGGGATTGAATGTTCAGAACTAGACCTCAGTACATGTGCAAATTTGGTATATGACAAATGCAGTATCTCACATAACTAAGGAAACAAACTTTTTCACAACAGCATTAAGACAAATGGGAGCCATTTGGGAAAAGATAAAACTAGATCAGAGATCTAAATGTAAAAAATAAGACCACACAAGTACTATAGGAAAAACTTGGGTATATTTCTCTTTAGCCTCAAGTGTAGGAAAAAGCTTTTTAAATATGGCTTAAACTTAAAAGATATGCCAGGTGCGGTGGCTTATGCCTGTAATCCCAGCACTTTGGGAGGCTGAAATGGATCACAAGGTCAAGAGATCGAGACCATCCTGGCCAACATGGTGAAACCCTGTCTCTACTAAAAATACAAAAATTAGCTGGGTGTGGTGGCACGTGCCTGTAGTCCCAGCTACTTGGGAGACTGAGGCAGGAGAATTGCTTGAACCCAGGAGGTGGAGGTTGCAGTGAGCCAAGATCATGCGACTACACGCCAGCCTGGTGACAGAGCGAGACTCCGTCAAAAAAAAAAAAAAAAAAAGAATATAAGAAAAGATAATAAATGTAATGACATAATACATTTGATATAAGCATGGAAAAAATAAAAAATAAAAAATAACGCCGTAAACAAGTTAAAAAAAAAGCCACTGGGAAACTGGAAGAAAACAACTGAACACACATCACAGTTAAAGTTTATTGCTATCCTGGTAATATATAGAACCCTTCAAACTGAAGAGAAAAAGACCAGAAACTTGACAGAAAAAAATGAGGATATACATAAACAGACCATTCACAAAACCATTAAATAATTTCCTGCAAATATGCATTTTACCACACTTATAATGATATAAGTATAAATCAAAACCACATAAAAATACTATTTATCATTTTTCATATTGGCACTTTTCCCAAATCTGATAATATATTCTTGTTAGTGAGGCTTTCGGGACCAAAAGGTCTCATACATTGCTGTGGGAATGTAAAATGCAAACATAGACAACCCTTCTGGGCAAGAATTTGGCCATAACTGACATTAAGTACATAGTCAGTTATCTTTTGTTCCAATAACCCAGTTTTAGTAACTTATCCTTAAGGTATACTTTGAACAATACAAAAATACACTTGCACAGGTTACTCCGTGAAATATTATTTGTAATCTCAAAGAATTAGAAACAACTTAAATATCCACACATGGGAGAATACTGAAATAAACTATGATACATCTCCACAGTGGAATATAATGCGCCTTTAAGAAGAATGAGGAAGATTTCTATGAGCAGAGATGGAAGGATTTCCAGAATATATTAAGTAAAGCAAAGTTCAAGAAAATATCTGTATGTTACTTTTGTGTAAGAAGGAAGTCAACATACAAAGGTGTGCATGATTCAGTGGAAATGGAAATAAAGAGCAAATTGGAAAATACTAATATTAGTTACTTACAGAGTGTGGATGGGAGGGGAGGAAGAGGTAGAGAAATCAGAATGGAGTAGTCAGAACCCAGGGTAAGTAAATAATCAAAATCCAATGAGAATGAGAGTTAAACTCAAAATAGAATCAAAACACAAACAAATGATTCTAACTCTGTTAAATGTGAAAAACAACCACACTGGAGGGATTGGAAAGGAAAGCTAAGTAACATTGGGAAACAGTATTTTGATTATAATCTCCAAGGTAAGAGGTAAGAACTGTACATAAGCATCATAATCATATTAATAATTTATTTTGCAAGGAGGTACAGGTTACACATTCTTAAATTGTTGTGTGTATATTCTATGATTGAATAAATAATTTTTATAGATACTGAGACTCGGGTGTCAGAGGAAAAAGTTAAAAAGAAAGAAAAGGGAAAGGCTATAACAAATCTTATGGTGTTGAATTGGAATTGCAGATAGCTATGGGAAATCATAAGATAGGTTGAGAGGAAGGAAGGAAGAATGGAAGGGTGGGAGGGAAGGAAGGAAGGAAGGGAAGGAAGGATGGACTACCCACAAATATCTCTCACTAATATAGATACAATGGTTCTTAACAAATGTTAGTAAACAAAACCCAGCAATATATAAAAAGAATTATAAATTATGACCAATTCAAATTCATTCCATGGATTCAAGGCCTGTTCAATATTTAAAAATCCATCAATGATTGATTAACCATATTAACATCACCATATTAACAGGCGAAATAAGAAAAATCACATGATCATGTCAGTCGATATAGAAAAAGATTTTGACAAAATTTAATACCCATTTATGATAAAAACTTTCAGAAAAATATGAATACAGAGTAGCTTCCTGAACTTATAAAGAACATATTCAACTAAACTACTGCTAACGTTACAGTTGGTGAAAGGTTGAATGCTTTTTGCCTGATATTGGGAACACGGCAAGGATTTCCAATTCTATTCAACATAGTGCTGGCAGTTTTGTTCAATGCAATAAGGCAAGAATAGATAATAAAATATACATATGTAGAGAATAGGAAGAAATAAAACTGTTTCTATTTGCAGATGACATAACTTTCTACATACTAAATCCGAAAGAATCTACAGAACAAACCTCCTAGAGCTCACAAATTAGTTCAGCTAGGTCACAGGGAACAAAATAAACATATAAAAGTCAAATCAATTATATGTCTATATGCTAGTAACAAAAGCATGAGCCCCATAATTGAAAACACGGTACAACTTACAAGCCAAAAAAAGCAAATAAGACAAGTGTACATTTCATAATATAAGTATAAAACTTGCATGCTGAAAATTACAAAATGCTGATGAAAGGAACAAAAGGAGATCTAATAAGGAGAGATACCCTGTGTTCATAAGTTGGAAGACTCAGTGTAGTAAAGATGTCAATTCTCCCCAAACTGATATACAAGTTTACCATAATTCCTATCAAAATAACAGGAAGATATTTGGTGGGTATAAACAAGACTACTCCAAAATTTACGTGGAAAATCAAAAGAACTAGAAGAGAAAAAGCCATTTTGAAGATGAATAGGAGAAATGATTCCATTCTTTGTATAGCTACAGTAATCAAGAATATGGATGATTAATGAAGGTAATCAAAGTATTGATTATGTGATGGGAGCATAGATCAATGGAATGAATCAGAGAACCCAGAAATAGCCCTATACAAATATGCCCAACTGATTTTTGGCAAAAGTGAAAAACAGCTTAATGGAGAAAACAGCTTTTTCAAGAAACTGTGCTAGAACAAGTGAGCATTTCTGAATTAAAAACAAAAGTAAACTTCAACATAAGTCTTACACCTTAGACAAAAAATTAACCCAAAATGGATTATGGACTTGAATGAAAAACATAGAACTATAAAACTTTTAGGAAAAAATATGCAAAAATCTTCAGGAGTTAAGGTGAAGTGAAGAATTCTCAAATGTGACCCCAAAAGTAGGATTCATAGAATGAAAAATTAGTAAATAGGCCTTCCTCAAAATTAAAAAAGAAGCATAGGAAAAGATGCTAAACATCATCAGTCATGAGCAAAATGCAAATTAAAACCACAAGATACCACTACACACCAATCAGAATGACTAAAATAAAAAATACTGACAATACCAAATGCTGGGTTTAACCTGAGCCACAGAGAAATTGAAAAATTAATGAAATGTGCAGGGCTGTAGATTAAATAATGCAGTCAATTCAGTGTTAATTTCTTGATTTTGATAATTGCACTGTGTTGGGGGGAATCTGGGTGAAGGTTATACAGATATTTTTTATACATTTTTTTCAAGTTTTTTATAAGTCTAAAGTTATTCAAGTATAAAAGTGTAAAAAGTTTTAAATAGTTTTAAATTCAAAATTGATGCCGGACAAAATAGATGAGAAACATCGACTTGTCATTTGTTTATTGTTGGGTGAAATCTAAGGCCTAAGTACTCTTCCTCCATTAGGGTAGCCAAGTATCTCTCACTGGCACAGACGGGGTGATAAACCATGGGCAGTCTTACTGGTATATTGCAAGATGCTCATTTCATAGTGGGGAGTGGCAGGAGTATTTTGGAAGTTTTGGGAGTTTTATTGGTATGATGAAGAATCATATGCTTTAGAAGAATTGAGTTGTGCAGGCTCATAAAATAGATTTTAAGGCTGAGAATGATTTTAATTTTTACTCTCTTCAACATATTTAAGTTGTCTTCTTTTCTTTACAAGGAAAACTTCCAGCTCTGAGCATGTTGCTGTTCTAACGTGCGCAGGCAGTGGTTGTTGAATACATCTTGGCTCAACAGTGGAAGAATCCAATCCCCTCAATGTGTCATCTCTATGCTTTGGTTTCATTTATTTTCTCAGTCTTCCTTTCTGTTCTGTGGAAATAACAGCAAAGGCAATGCAGTCTGTGGCAGCAGTCAGAGTGGCCTAAATATTAGTGATAATTGTATGGTACAGTAATTGCAAATAGCAGTGATTAATTCTTACAATAATAGCCGTCCTAAGAACAATTGATTTCCCTTCCAGTCATGCTCAAGTTTCCCATGAGAAAGCTTTAAAATGGTTATTATTATTAGTTTAAGCTTTGGGGAGAAAAGGGAAGATGAAAAGAATGGTGATTACTTTGGGGTTGTCAGCACTGATTCTTCATTAGTGTGGGGAGCAAGGGCATTCGTGGCAATGCAAGTGGAAGTAATGTCCTACCTTGAAGGAAAATCAACCTGACTCTCAAAGCAGAGGGAAGCACAACTCAGTGAATGTGGATCTCACAATCACAGCCGTAGATTTCCTTAAAACTGTGATGACGCAGCACAGAGAAGGAAGAGACAAATTCCTACTCAGCAATCACTCTCTCTTGCAGAAGTCTTTTCCAGCACTGTGAGATTTAGTTTTGAAACCTTCCTGCTATAGCTATCTAGGTATTATTATCTCCATTTAATGTACACTAATGGACAGAAATATGAAGCAGTAAATTGCCTCTTTTAGACCATTGAAGAAGTCAGCGTTGAATCTGGAATTTAAGATTAAATAGCCATGACTCCCATTTTTATGATCAGATTTAGAAGCTATACCAAAATTTCAGGGCTGCTTTCCCTCACTGACTGCCTTCCATCCCTCTTCTTCTTGGTTAAGCCATATGTTAATTAACACCAGGTAGAATTTATCACCATGTATTCAGTACTCAGCTAAAACCAATCAGTCTATCATATATTAATATGCAAACTTCTCTCAGTGTTAAACATCATAGTTTTATATTGGTAACTCTCCAAATTGGGGAAAACAATTCTTAAATTTATTAACTAGTGTCAAATGTTTCTATCATTGAGGAAAATCACTTGATTTTTGACTGGTATATATATATGCACGCATAAATTAAGTAGTAAAAATAAAATATTTATTTTTAAATTGTTCATTATTTATTTATTTTGAGACAGGCTCTCACTGTCACCCAGGCTGGAGTGCAGTGCTTTGATCACAGCTTACTGCAGCCTCAACCTCCTGGGCTCAAACAATCCTCCTGCCTCAGCCCCCAGGTAGTGAGTAACTGGGACTACAGCTGGGACTACAGGCATGTGCCACCGTGCCGGGTTTTTTTGTTTGTTTGTTTGTTTGTTTGTTTTTTTAGTAGAGACAAGGTCTCACTGTGCTGTTCTTGAATTCCTGGGCTCAAGTGATTCTCCTGCCTTGGAGTTCTGGGATGACAGGAATGGAGCCACCATGCCCAGCCAAGAATTTTAAAAGTTCACAATATGTTTAACATTTAATGGATTTATGTCTGCTTTTACATACTTGCCCTTCCAAATAGACATGCACTTGGAAACTGATTGATAATTTTTCTAACTTCCCCAGATCTTACTAGACTCTCACCCCTACAAAGGCGAGTGCTCATCCTTATATACTCAGCTCATTCCTATATCCTTAGGATCTGGTACAGAATCAAGTACAGTAGCAGGTACTAAATAGTACCTGGTACAGTGTCTAATAAGTACTTGATACAGTGTCTAGTACAGTATCAGGTACCAGGTACTTAGTACGTGGTACAGTGTCCAGAACATTGTGATTAATAAATGTTTGGTAAATGAATAGATAAATGGATTATGTCCACATTATCTCTGTGTATTTCAAGAAATCTGATACTAATGTTTTGGGCACTTGTCTGCCTCATCCCCCAGGAGGCAGGGATTTTAACTGTATCAGTTAGCTATTTCTGCATAACAAGTTACCCCCCCAAATTTAGCAGTGTACAACAACAGACATCTGTTATCTTATATAGTTTCTGAGGGTTAAGAATCTGAGTTGTCCAGGCTCAGGGTTTCCCACTAAGTTTCATGAAGCTGTTGTCTAAGGCTCAAACAGGGCTGGAGAATCCGGCTCAAATAGAGCTGGAGAATCCAGCTCATAGCATGTCTTCCTCCAGCATAAATAATCCGGACAACAGGGGGTGATCAGGTAAACATTAGAGCATATAAAATAGAAATATCAATCTTTTATTACCTAACCTTAGAATGACAAACCATCATTGATTTATTAATTACAAAGACCAATCTTTGTACAATGGATGGGGCAGAAATCACAAAAGAGTGTGAATATTAGGATGTCATTGAGGGACCACCTTGGACCCTGGCTTCCATAAGGATGATGTAACATTTTACATATAGCTCTCCACTTCAAACATATGTAATATATTGTTAGTAAATTGTTTCAGATGAGGATAACTCTTTAAAGAGGAGAGAAACATCTCAGATTTGAGAACCTCTGTAGTAGGCTTTATGCTAAGTCCATTCACAAGATTTCAACATTAATCTTAAGTGTAAAAGCATTGGAGTTAAAGTTGTGGGGAGCAACTAAATGAGGTAGGGGGCAAATGTCAATTTGCATGCCTCTCCAATAAGCGGTCATGGGTACTCATCAAATTCCCATACCTTAGCCTCTTCTTTTGAGCAGAGAAATCTTGTATTTCCACCAGCAGTTGAAAGGGCTGGCTTAGTAGTGTGAAACATGTAGTGGGACGGCTGATAATTAGTAGAATGACTATATAATTTATTGACCAACCCAGCACACTATTTAGAGCAAAATGGAGAACTATTAATAATTATGCCAAGGCAACAAGCATACATTGAGACTGTCTGGGGCAGTCTCGGACACAAATTCACCCTGTAAATTAGAGCCATTTATTTTGGGCCATTTTTACTGTGAGGTGCTTGGAATAGTGAGTTTGGTAAACAGTCCCTTGAAGCTTGCCTTTTGTGTTTTTCACATGACTATCTTGCTCAGAAGAAAGAATTGAAAAAGAAGCAAGCAGAACAGTGTACTGTTTCTTGACAAAGGACAGCCTCTTGGGGAAAGATTGATTTGTAAGGATATTGTCTAAGAATTCATGTCCCTCTCAAGGAAATTACCAGTCATTAGGGATTTGAGCAAATCTTTTACGGCAGTTTTCCTCATATCAGTTGCAAATACAGGGTCTGTTTAATTTTGCAAAATTTCTTTTCATATGCATCTAATTAAAGTATCTGTTGAGTCCATCGTGTTGTGTTCAAGTTAATTGAATAGAAAAAAATTTAATGGCCCTCTATTAGATTTTCCTGGTTAATGTCATAGGCATCCATTGATTTTTTTTTAATTAGGGATTTTTGTTAATGGATTTGCACAAATTAAAATCTGTCTAATAACTGGTGCTCCTCTGGCAGTTCTCAAGACACTTGCTGGGATCTTGGCAAGCCCCCTTGATCGAATTTGGGGGAATTTGCCTTTTCAATGACAATTTCTTATAGAATTGTAAAATGAGATTAGAATTCCTGCTGATAGACTTTGCTACTCCATGGATTTTTCCTCCCCTTAGAAATAATCATGAGACTCTTACTGAGACAAATGTATAAATAGCAACATTCACTTGCACCCAAACACAGAATATTAAGGCTAATGCACTAGAGCCCAAGGACTTCTTGGAACTCTAGGTAGAATGTTATGCTCTGGGTTTTCTCTGGGTACAGTAGTAATAGGAGAGTCACTGAAGGGCTGGCTAAGTTGGATTTTTAGCATGGCTATAATGAGAAGAAACAATTGTATCCTAGGTAATTAAATTGCAATCCAGTCCCCATTTTTCTTTCTTTTTGCATTTTCCAAAAAAAGTAAAAAAAAGCTGCAAAAATTGTCTAAAGGCTTTGAATTAATTTAAGAGAGCACTTTTACTCATGCTGTTATTTTCCAGGAGTAATTTTCAGTCCTAGACTGGATCATAGTTCTGGTCTTGATGGTTTACGAGGGTTTAAGGTCAGAAAGGGGTTAAACAATATTCTTACTGTAACTTGTTTCTTCTCAGCAAATTACTTAACATTCATTCTGGACTTGAGTCTGCTGCAAGACAAAAAGAAACCTGAGGGAAACTCAGGGGTGAAATAAACACTTTTCAGGGTCAGTATCTGGTGTGGGAGAAAGGAAAATACAAGGCCGCAGGGCAAGAGAGAAAAGAAAGCCTTCACCTTCATGGACTGAGTGGCTTTGAAGTTGCTCAGAGCACACCAGTCCCCTCCTACAATTTCCTTTAAAAAGGGAAGAAGAAACATCATCTGATAACCCTCCTCTTACAGAATCAGATCACCAGAGAACATGCAACTCACCACCTTAGTTAGCCTACCACTTGCCATGTAGCCAAGAATACACTGACTTAATGCAATCTCACCTCCACTCAAGGAGAAAACTATTAATCCATTCCCTTTCATTCCTCTGAACTATCTTCAAGGAATAAAATGAAGAAGTCAGCAAAGACAATGACAAAGTCCACTCAATTTTACATATTGCCTATAAAGATAAAAGTCTTTTCATTTATATCTTTTCAGGCTCTGCACTTGTTCTCTATTCATCCAAACCCTACTCATTCTTTCATTTCCTAGGCCTCTATAAAATTTCCCCTGAACACTGCCACTAAAATTGCTTTCCTCTCCTTTATCTGAATACTGGCAGTACATGCAATAGAAAGAATAAAAGTTAGTGCTTAGTTACATGTTCCCTTCCACTATTCTTTAACTATTTCATGTAAGTATACGGAAGTGATATTTAAAAATCATTTATGCAATTTTCTCTTATACTTCTTGTTATCAGCTGCCTCACCAACTCCCTGCCTTAACATACTCCACTCCCTTCTCTCTCTCTCTCTCTCTTCCCCTCTCTCTTTTTTTCTTTTTTTGAGATGGGGTCTTGCCCTGCTGCCCAGGCTGGAGTGCACTAATGCCATCATGGCTCACTGCAGCCTCAATTTCCCAGGCTCAAGCGATCCTCCTTCCTCAGCCTCCAGAGTAGCTGGGACTACAGGCATGCACCACCATGCCAAGCTATTTTTTGGTGGGGGGAGGGTAGAATAGGGATCTCTCTTTTTTGCCTATGCTGGTCTTGAACTTCTGGCCTCAAGGTATTCTCCTGCCTCAGCCTCCCAAAATGCTGAGACTATAGGCGTGAACCATGACGCCTGGCCACTACTCTCTTCTTTCTTTCCAGAAGTATCCATTAGGATTGTTCAAGAAGAAATTCACAGAATAATAGCCACCATCTTTATAGTGCTTATTATGTTCCAGTCACTGTTCTGAGCACTTTACATGTGCACAGTCATAAAATCTGTAGAAGAACTCTTTCATGTAGATGGCATTATTACTATTTTATAGATAAACTGAGGCATAGAGAGCTTACCCAAGATTACAAATCTAGTAAGTGAGAGTGGAGATCCAAATTCAGTGGTCTCGTTTCAGAGCTTGTGCTCTTAAACTGCTCCTACATACAGAGGTGGAGTTTACATTAAGCTTCTGATATCCAAGTTGGATTTTGCAACAAGGTAAAAGTAAAAAATTTAGTTCATGTTAATAGATAAATTCCCGCTTAGCAGACCACAAATCAAACCTAAAGGATCCAATTACAAGGTGTTTTACATTGAACAGAGAAGAGATTCCTTTTGCCAACAATGACTTGGGCAAACATACCCAAGATAGAAGAAATATATGATTTAGTGAAGGTTCAAATTCTGAGTCCTTCCTTTTCAACCAGAGGAATGAAGACGAGAGACAAAAAAAGTAAGAGTGAGAAATCAGACATTAATGATATTGTTCTTGTCTAAACTCAACAATGGCAACTTTAACAATATCTATAAAGTATAGGAAAATCAAAGCTACTGACTTATTTCCCCGGCCATATCTTGGGGTTTTCTATGGCCTTAGTAAAATAAAAGCCTTTACTTTAGGGCTGTATTCCCTATAATATGAGAATGATGGTATGGGAGGGTGAGTAGTGAAGCTGGGATAACTAGCTGGGATTGAAATTATGTCCTAGGCTCCCTGCAGACTGGGCGTGGCAAACTTGTGATGCATAAAGCCCTACATGTTCTAGAGGAGATGAAGAGAGGTTGAGAGCAATGGCAAATGGAGAAGGCCTTGTTTAGGAAAAGAAACAGCTCTTTGCTGAGACCTCAAAAATGAAGCCAATGTTAATAACACCAGCTTACTTCAAAGGGCAGATACAACCATTCACCCCTCACTGGGACTAGACCAGAAAGCAAAACAACTGGTAACTCCTCATAGGGATCTAGGGATGACCTAGATAAATCCAGGTATATCCAAGGTCAATTATTACTCTCCTCAACTTCCATAAAAATGCAGAGCCCCCTTCTCACATCCAGATACCGCTCAGTCAAAGTAAAGGGAAAAATGAAATCTAAAAGACTGAACTATTACTTGAAGAGACTCAATCATCCAAAGTTACTATTAAACTATTACTATACTCTTATGTTTGGGAGGAAAACTTTGTATAGAAACCTAGACCTTTCAGAAAAGATTCCATTGGTACTGAGATAGTTGGCTACCCATATGCAGAAGAATGAAACTGGACCCCTACCTTTCACCATATACAAAAATTTACTCAAGATAGATTAAAGATTTAAATGTAAGACCTCAAACTGTAAGAATCCTAGAAGAAAAACCTAGGAAACAGCATTCTGGACATTAGCATTGGGAAAGAATTTGTGACAGAGCTCTCAAAAGCAATTCCAACAAAAACAAAAATTGGCAAGTGGGGCCTAATTAAACTAACGAGCTTCTGCACAGCAAAAGAAACTATCAAAAGAGAAAACAGACAACTTACAGAGTGGGAGAAAATACTTGCAAACCATGCATCTGACAAAGGTCTAATATCCAGAATCTATAAGGAGCTTAAACGACTGAACAACCAAAAACCAAATAACCTCATTTAAAATAGGCAAAAGATAGGAGCAGACACTTCTCAAAAGAAGACATACAAGGGCTAACAAAAATGAAAAAATGCTCACTATCACCAATCATCAGAGAAATGCAAATCAAAACCACCTTGAGATACCATCTTACCCCAGTCAGAATGGCTATTATTAAAAATCTACTATTGAATCATGAGGTCCTATAAAACAAAAATAAAAAAACAACAGATACTGGCAAGGCTGAGGAAAAAAGGGAATGCTTATACACTGGTGGGAATGTGAATTAGTTCAGCCACTGTGGAAAGCAGTTTGGAGATTTCTCAAAGAACTTTAAAGAGAACCACCATTTGACCCAATAATTACATTATTGAGTGTATACCTAGAGAAAAATAAGTCATTCTACCAAAAAGACACATGCAGTCCCATGTTCATCGCAGCCGTATTCACAATAGCAAAGAAATGGAATCAACCTAGGTGCCTATCAGTGGCGGACTGAATAAAGAAAATGTGGTACATATACACCATGGAATACTACACAAGCATAAAAAATGAAATCATGTTTTTTGCAATAACATGAATGCAGCTAGAGGCCATTATCCTAAGGAAATTAATGCAGGAACAGAAAACCAAATACTACATCTTCTCATTTATAAGTGGGAACTTAACATTGAGAACTTGTGGACATAGCAATGGGAATAATAGACACTAGGGACTACTAGAGTGGAGAGAGGGTGGGGGGCAAAGGTCAGAACACTAACCATTGGGTACAATGCTCAGTACGTGGGTGATGAGATCAATTATACACCAAACTACAGTATCATACAATATACCCAGGTAACCAACCTGTTCATGTACCCCCGAATCCAAAACAGAAGTTAAAATTATAAAAAAGTAAAAATTAAAAAAAAAGTCTTTGAGACACACGCACACATACACACACAAAAGAAAAGATGGCATTATTATCTGACAGGTTGAAGTGCCATTACTACCCAGTGGAGTGGTATCTGTCACAAAAATCACATGTGTTACCGAAAAAAACATCAAGATCATTTTCTTTGTACATCCAAGTTGTTCTTTCAGCAAATTTGGAACCACCCTATGTGACTACATGATTTAATGTTTTCTTCTCACCAAGCTAAACACTTTGAGATTAGGAAGCAGCATATCTTTTTTTTTTTTTTTTTTTTTTTTTTTTTGCATTTACTGCTGGTTCAGCCCACAACTGAACACAGTAGGTGCCCAGGAATAATTGTTGAAATGCTGCTTTGGGTCCCAAAGAAAGGGAAGATATCTCACTGGTACCTTTTCCCAGCCAATTAAAAGAAAGAAATTCACACACTGTATGTGATACTTTTCAGGCCAATTTTTTTTTCTTGTATCTGTCTTGCTAAGTATTGGTTTGGGAATCAGATCCGGCCTTACTACAGCCTCCTCTGATTGTGTTATAACCCAAGGAGCAGCTCCAAAACAAGACAGGCCAATTAGTAGTGCATCTAATTTTCCTAATTTCCAAAACCCTCCATCACAATGAGGCTATTACAGGAAAATTAACCTCTAGCAGTTGAAATCACTCAGTGTGGAGTTTAGCCAGGGGCAGAAAACAAAGCTGGGACTTCCACAGACAGAAAGCATAGAGCTTTTGCTTTCAAATGACTGTGTGAAAAGTCAGCCAAAATGTGGAAACCTTTTTATTCCACTGACTTTTGCAATTCTGTGGCAAGCAGACAATTTTGAGCAGGCAATAGAATAAAGAAGCAATAGAGTGGAATCCGTCTGGAAGGACAGACTTTCACCCAGTGACCTTGAGTGAATGGAAATGGAGAACAAAAAACAGAACAGAGTCAGAGAAAGAGAAAAAGAAAACAGCTTCTAAAGCAATCTTAGTCTTATAGGGTAAAATAATGGAATGCTTTAATGAATGCATGAAGATTTGTAGTTTTATGTGTCAGCTAACATAATAGGTACGTTCTTAGATTGGAAGGTGAATAGATTTTTAACATATAAGTCAATTTTTTATTAAATGCGATTAGGAAAACATACCAAGGGCTGTTATTCTTTAGTAAGTAAAAAGTAGCCTCTGATGAATCTGTTTTGTAAATTTGTGATTCCTTTTACGCATTTATTAAAACAGCCCAGTAAGTGCCCTGATCTCCAATCAGGAATTGGACCCCAAGGAGGAGTTTCACGTACTTCATCCTGCACCTATGCAGTAAAACCCCTCTGACAACTCCCTCCTTGAGACAAGTGTGCAGAAAATATTCACTTTTCTTGCTTTAACCTGGTTAGAGTTTGGGGAAACGGCCTTGTCTGCTCACGTAACCCGAAGTTCCATATTATATTTCTTCAGCAAGGGAACCTGGTTAGAAACGCCATTTTACTTTAAAAGAACTCAGCAGAAAGCTCCATTTACTGCTACTCCATTTACTGGGTTGATTTAAAAACAAACAAACAAACAAAAACCTTCCATCTACTTGGTAGTAAAAGCACCTAGAGGATGTTAAAATTCTTATTGGCCCCATCAGGTCTTCTCTCCAAAATGTACATTTTTGCCATTCATGCAAGCCTGGGCAACGAGGCTCAGGAGCTAGTCACTGTTTTTCTGGCAATAGCAGATAATTAACCAGAGCCCTAGTAAAAGCAAGAATAAAAAGATGTCGAGAGCACGTGCACCTACCTGACCACCTCATGGACATATGTGGACAGAGCAGCCCAAATAATTCAGACAACTCAGGATTGTCTAGAATTCATCAGGAAGGGCATTAAAAAGAGCAATTTCTCTTTTACACGGTTGGTGGGACTGTAAACTAGTTCAACCATTATGGAAGTCAGTGTGGTGATTCCTCAGGGATCTAGAACTGGAAATACCATTTGACCCAGCCATCCCATTACTGGGTATATACCCAAAGTACTATAAATCATGCTGCTATAAAGACACATGCACACGTATGTTTACTGCGGCACTATTCACAATAGCAAAGACTTGGAACCAACCCAAATGTCCAACAATGATAGACTGGATTAAGAAAATGTGGCACATATACACCATGGAATACTATGCAGCCATAAAAAATGATGAGTTCATGTCCTTTGTAGGGACATGGATGAAATTGGAAATCATCATTCTCAGTAAACTATCGCAAGGACATAAAACCAAACACCACATGTTCTCACTCATAGATGGGAATTGAACAATGAGAACACATGGACACAGGAAGGGGAACATCACACTCTGGGGACTGTTGTGGGGTGGGGGGAGGGGGGAGGGATAGCATTAGGAGATATACCTAATGCTAAATGACGAGTTAATTGGTGTGCACACCAGCATGGCACATGTATACATATGTAACTAACCTGCACATTGTGCACATGTACCCTAAAACTTAAAGTATAATAATAATAATAAAAAAAAGAAAAAAAAACAAAAAGCAATTTCTCTCCGACTTTAAGGTGCACAGGAGTTACCTGAGGATCATGTTAAAAATGCAGATTCTGCTTTTTGCTCCTTTCCAGCATTCAAGACATCAAAGTGAGGATGTGGTGGGTTCTCTTGGTGTGAAATTTCGGATTTCCCTGGGTCTTCCAATAGGAACCATGATCAACTGTGCTGGTAACACAGAAGCCAAAAATCTGTATGTCATCTCTGTGAAGGGGATCAAGGGTGAGCTGAACAGACTTCCTGCTGCTGGTATGGGTGACATGATGATGGCCACAGTCAAGAAAGGCACACCAGAGCTCAGAAAGAAGGTAGATCCAGTGGTGGTCATTTAGCAACAAAAGGCAAACTGGAGAAAAGATGGCATGTTGTTTTATCTTGAAGATAATACAGGGGTCATAGTGAACAATAAAGGTGAGATGAAAAGTTCTGTCATCACAGGACCAGCTGCAAAAACACTCTGCAGACTTGTGGCCCCAGTGAATGATCCGCTGGCATATTTGTAATAAAAAATTTTAAATCCATGAAAAAGTATTTGTCAGCCCCCACTCAAAAAATGCAGATTCTGATTCAGAAGATCTGGAATGAGGCAAGAATTATGCATTCCTAACAAGCTTTAAGGTAATGCTGATGCTGCTGGTCCATGGTCCACATCTTGAAAAGCAAGGCACAAGATGACATGACACATATTCGAGATCCAAAATAAAAACTATAGAGTTTAGTTTCCTTGCTTATTTTTCCTCCCTCATTACCATCTAGGTAGGTAGCATAAGTATCAGTTTAAGAACATTCAAACTGCAAACAGTTTTCGTTATGGGAGGATGCTAGTAAAAGTGAACTTCTTTTGGGGGTCCAGTAAACATTATCCTTCACGCGATGCAGTAATTTTTTTTTCTTTTTTTTTTTTTTTTTTTTTAGACAAGGCTCTCAACTTTGTTGCCTAGGCTGGAGTGCAGTCCTAGGAACATGGCTCACTGCAGCCTCAACCTCCTGGGCTCAAGTGATTCTCCTGCCACAGTCACCTGAGCAGCTAGGACTATAGACACCACCACCATGCAGAGCTAATGTTTTGTACTTTTTGTAGAGACAGGGTTTCACCATCTTGCCCAGGCTGGTCTCAAACTCCTGAGCTTAAGTGATCCTTCCTCCTCGGCCTCCCAAAGTGCTGGGATTACAGGTGTGAGCCACCATGCCCGGCCAAGAATTTTTTCTTTCTTCTTAGTTTTGGGCTACATTGACTGAAGGTTTGATGTTCGGGGATGTGGCTTAAACTTTAACCTTTAAAAAGTCACCAGAGAAATGCTGCTGAGGTGGGCATTAATCAGAAGGCTACAGGAGAGTAAGCCTAAATGGCTTCCCTTCAAAGAAAATAATTAATAATCAGCAATTTTCAATTTATCCCTCTCTTTACAGGCTCTCAAACCACTTTGCATATTTTATGCCAGGAACTTCCACAGTACTAAATGATAAAATAGAAGAGCAATACTTCAGTGTTACCAAGCCCTAGGCATGCCCTACATTTATGTTGTGAAACATAAAAATAAATGTGCAAAAAGACCAGTTTCCCTGGTAGGGTCAATAGTCAAGCTATGAAAGAATGATAGAGGTCTGGACTTCACAAGTCAAGCTTAGAGATTCTTTCCTAATGCAACTACAGTATGAAAAACTCTCAGGAATCCAGCACTGGGGAGTGGAGTTAGATAGGGCTTGCACTTGCTGAATTGACAGTGAAGAGGAGATAAGTAGGAAAAGTCTCAGAAAGGTGTATATATGCTGTGAGTTAGAGTTAGCTATTTACTCTTTCTGTTGATAATGAGAGAAAAAAAAGCAAAACAAATAAGTTGAAGAAAAAGAAGATTGATCTCAGGATTATTCAGAAACAAACTTCATTCCACATAGTAAAATGTAATGTATCAAGATTAGATGCTTCAGCCTCATGGCTGTATATTTACACTAAATAAAAGATGACAAAACATGAGAAGCGTAGTTAGGGCATTCAAGTGTCTTTGAAATTCAAAGCCTTAGATTTGAAGAAAAAATTCTAACAGCAACCAGATAGACTACTATTCCAGGGCTGGATATATTTTTTTGTCTAGTGACAGGAAACTGGAAGTAAAGAAAGCAAAACAAAATATGGAATAAGTAAAACACCTTTAACATGAGAAAATGAAAAACAAAACACTCAAACTATAGAAAAAATGTTTTTTTTAAAAAGACACTGCAGAAAACAAATTTAAGTATATATTACTTTGTACTCTCCAAAATTTCAAAGGAATACAGGCTCTATATAATTAGACATTAGAGATAAAATAGTAAAACTGAAAATTAATATTTGATATGTGATGGAAGCTTGCTGAGAAGCACACAATTTTTTAAAAGTAAAAGGCAAATGTATCTATTTTATTTTAAACTTTAATTTTATGTTCAGGGGTACATGTTCAAGTTTGTTATACAGGTAAATTGTGTATTGCAATTTGGTGTACAGATTATTTTGTCATCCAGCTAATAAGCATAGTACCTAATAGGTAGTTTTTCAATTCTCACCCTCTTCCTGCCCTTTACCCTCAAGTAGCCCCTGGTGTCTACTGTTCCCTTCTTTGTGTCCATGTGTACTCAATGTTTAGCTTCCACTTATAAATGAGAATGTGATATTTGGTTTTCTGTTCCTGTGTTAATTCTCTTAGAAAAGGGCCTCCAGCTGCATCCATGTTGCTACAAAGGACATGATCTCATTCTTTTGTATGGCTGCATAGTATTCCATGGTGTATTTGTACCACATTTTATTTATCCAGTTTACTGTTGATGGGCACCTAGGTTGATTCCATGTCTTTGCTATTGCAAATAGTGCTGTGATGAATCTACATGGGCATGCATTTTTATGGTAGAAACATTTATATTCCTTTGGGTATATACCCAGTAATAGGAGTCATGGGCCAGATGGTAATTCTGTGTTATGTTCTTTGAGAAATCTACAAATTGCTTTCCACAATGGCTGAACTACTTTACATTCCCACCAGCAATGTACAAGTGTTCCATAAAAGGAGAATTTTAGAAGGACTAAAGATATAATCACAGAGTTAAGCACTAAAGTATTAATGATCATATTTGGATATAACAGAAATTAAATCAGTGTTATGGAGATCAAACTTGAAAATATTTCAGAATTGAGGAAAGAGATAAAAATGAAATCCTGATGATATACATTGAAGAGAAAGAATAAGGGTCTAACATATAGATAATTGATGTGTCTGCTGAAGAGAACAAATCAAACAGGGTTATTTAAAATGTGATAAACAAAATATTTCCATTGAATGTATTGAATGAGATTAAGTCAAGTCATAATTCTGCAGATTAGAAACACCGATAAGTACATGTGGTAAGAGAAATAGAATACTGGCTTCCACAGTTAACATGGTGAAAGTTTCTACTTTGAAGGATAAAGAGAGATGACTATGAGTTCTGTCCTATTTTTGTTGCAGAAAAGAATACTTCAAAACTTAAAACAGGCTAGGTACAGTGGCTCATGCCTATAATCCCAGCACTTCAGGAGGCCAGAGCAGGAGGATGCCTTGAGTCCAGGAGTTCAAGACCTATGTTACCTGGGCAACATAGGGAAAACCATCTCTACTAAAAATAAAAAAAAATTATCAACATGTGGTGGTGCATACCTGTAGTCCCAGCTATTTGGGAGCTTGAGGTGGGAGAATCACTTGAGCCTGGGGAGGGGGAGGGGGTTGAGGATGCAGTGAGTCATGATCCTGCCATTGCACTGCAGCCTGGGCAACAGAATGACACTTTGTCTCAAAAAAAAAAAAAAAAAAGAAAAGAAAAAACCTAAAAAAACCTTAAAACAATAACCATTTTATTTTGCTCACATATTTTGTGGGCCAGGAATTTGAAAAGTGCTCAGTGAGGGTACTGTAAGAGACAAAATGCACCTGGCAATTAAAGATGGGATTTTACATATTCAGAGTAATGCCAAAAAAAAAGAGGATGGGGGAATATTAATAATGAGAACCATCATAGAGAAAAGAAGGGAGGTCTGGGGTTTTATAGAAGTAGGTAAACACAGAAGTTATCCACGAGTTTTATGGGAGTCATGGTGTGGGATCGAGAGGGTTTTATCTTGGAATATATGAGGGGAGGATGGTTCTTTGTGCTAAGCTGCTTCCTGTCACACAAAGGGTGGGAAGATTTCTTGACCATCACTGTTTTCTAAACACTGTCAATGGTTTATTTCTGCCCCATCACATCTGGGAACTTACCTGGCAATATTTGATGGCTGAAGTTGACTGAGGCTAAAAGCTGAAATCATCTGAAGGCTTCTTTGTTCACACATTTGGTGCTCTGGCCAGGATAGCATCAGTGCTAGGACTGCAAATTAGAATGTGGTCTCTCTGTGGAGCATGGTGGTTTCAGGATGGCCAGATTTGCTACAGAGCAGTTCAAGGCTTCACGTGTGAGTTTTCCAAGTAAACTAAACAGAAATTTACTTTCCTTTTGTTACCCAGTCTTGGAAAGCATAAAGTACTATGCCCACCCTATCCTAGTGACCTGAGCAGTCACAAGCCTTGACTAGATTCTGGATGAGGAGAACAAGATGCCCAACTTTCAAATAAGAAAGTGTGACCTTTGGGGAAAAAATACCCAAAACTAGCATATTGGCTATGAATTATTTATATTCTGACACATGAACCAATGCACTCATTCCCTGTCCTGAGATCCCAAAGTCTCATCAAATTGTAGCACCAACTCAAAGCCTAGGATCTGGTCAACTAAATCAGGTCCAGGTGCAGATGAAGCTCTTCAGGTGTGAGTCTTTAAGTGTGGTTCCTCTCCATCTGAAGACCTGTGACCTAAAGAGACAAGTTATATCTGACACACCCACCAAGCAAACAATAGTGGGACAGGCACGAGAAACCTATAGATAGTCTCATTCCAAACAGGAAAATGGAGGGCATACAGTAGTCACTGTTCCATAACAATTCTGAAACTGAGTTGTGCATGTGTTACTGATTCCCTGATTTGGGCTCCGTCCTATTCCTTGGGAGTTGGTATATTACTCAAGGTTATCGAGAGAAACAGAACCAATAGGATATGTGTATACATAGAGATTTACTTTAAGTAATTGGCATATGTGATTGTGAAGCTGCCAGGAAAATGAATGTGCCGTGGTCAAGAATAGGCTGAGGCAGACATCTGATCCAGTGTGATTTAGTGAGTTTGGAGTGCAGGCGCATAACTCTGCACATTATGTAACCACACCATGTGAGACGCATTAGGTGATCACCCATGTGAGCTCATTCTTGGCTCAAAGCCACTATTGTCTATAAAAGGTATAATTACCCTGCTAATGCTGTACATATGGCTTGGCTCATGCCTGGGCTCAGCTCCTGCCTGGGCTTGCTTGCGCCCAGGTTTGGTTGCACCCACAGAAAGAGTAAAGCCATGTCGAAACTGTCTACAATTCCTCGAGTGTTTTACCAGCTACCTGCCACTTGCCCACTGACTCCCCTCAGAACTCAGTTAGAACCTGACAATTGTCATCACAAACAGGATCCTGAGCTGTGCTGCTCAGATGGGCTCTAGCAGAAACCTAGGGAGTGGTAGATGGGTCCCCACAAGCATGGAGAAGGTGCTGAAGCAGCTGGAAGCACAAAGCACTGAGAAGGAGCGAGCTTTTGCTGACAGAGTTGGATGGGCGTTTTTGACTGTGCCACAAGAAGTACACACCCAGTCCCTGAGGGATGCAGCATGGGTAAGGGCCCTGCAGACGCTGGTGGGGCACCTGGAGGCCCAGCTACACAACTCAGAGAAACAATTAGAAGCTGCCATTAATGGGGAACTCCAGGCACAGGCGGGACACCTGAAGGGCCAGCTACAGAGCTTGGAAAAGGAATTAGAGGCTGCTGTGAATGCAGGCCTGGGTCCATCATCTCAACCAGAGACTCCACTCAGTCTGATAAAGCTGGAGAAGGTGCAGATACTTTATGGCACCCATAGCCACTACAATTTTCCGGTGTGGCCTGTTAGAAAGCCTGATGGAACTTGGCAGATGACGGTGGACTATTGGGAACTGAATAAAGTAACACCCCCTTTGCATGCAGCTGTACTGTCAATCATGGAATTGATGGACCGTTTGGTGGTAGAACTGGCACAGTACCACTATGTCGTGGACTTAGCCAATGCATTTTTCTCCATAGACATCACTCCAGAGAGCCAGGAACAGTTTGCCTCCATGTGGGATGGGTCACAATGGACTTTTACAGTGTTGCCGCAGGACTATGTGCATAGCCCCACCATATATCACGGTCTTGTTGATGATGTTATGTTAACCTTTGATTCTCTTGAAGACTTAGAAGTGGCAATGCTTCTCTTGCCTAGAATTAAGATATTGCAGCTGAGACCGCCTTCCTGGCAGCCAAATGGGCTCTGCAGCAGGCACAAGTCCTATGGGTAGTTAACCAGGGGTGCCTGTTTGAGCTAGATGTGCATGTGACCATAGATGGTTTCATTTGGGGCCTGTGACAGCACATGGAGTACTCGAGAATGCCAGTGGGCTTTGGGTCCCAACTATGGAAGGGAACTGAGCCCCAGTATTCCTTGATAGAGAAACAGCTAGTAGCTATATATGCCACCCTTCAGGCTTGTGAGAGTGTGACAGACAGGCTGCAGTCGTGTGGATAACTTACCCAATAGCAAGATGGGTGCGTTCATGAGTAACAATTCCCTGGACTGGGACAGCACAGACATTCACTTTAGCAAAGTGGGGTGCTTACTTAGAACAGTGAAGTACACTGAATACGAGCCCTTTAGCAACAGAATTGCAAGAGGTCTTGGGACCTGTAGTCCTAATGCAAGATAAGACCATGTGGCCTGAGGTACTACTAGACCTCAAGCCTTCACTGTTGAAGAAAGGGCATCCCTCTAATTCCTGATGAAGTATAGTATACAGATGGGTCTAGCTGGGGTGCTGCTACTGCCTGGACTGCTGTTGCAGTACTGACACCATATGGTTTGATACCAGGTGTGGACAAAGTAGCCAGTGGGCTGAACTCAGGGCAGTGTGAATGGTGATCACCAAAGAGGTGACAACTATGGTAATCTGCACCAATAGCTGGGCAGTTTACTGAGGCTTAACCTTGGGGTTAACTACCTAGAAGCTACAGAGGTGGCTAGTTGGTCTCTGGCCCATGTAGGGCCAAAGCATGTAACAAAACCTATAGGAGGAAGGATGACCTCCTCCAACTAGCTATGGGGACGAACAGTAACCTGTTGCTGCCTGCCCCAGTGCCCCTAAATGTAGGGAAATAAAAACATGGCTTAATGTATAAAGCAACATTGGGGTAACGTCACCATGGGGTGGTTGCCCACCATAACCTAGAGTTGTTTCCCCCTGTGTTACTGCTGTGGCCTCTGGATCCAGGGTTCCACCCTGTAGGCATGTCTCCCCACTAGAAGAACTCCCTCGGCCTAGAGGGTGGAATATAAGGCCTATGTGTCAGACCTGTGTATCCAATGCCTATGTATCCCTTGGGTGTAGGAGGTGGAGTGTAAGGAAAATGGATGTGCTGCGGGCAAGAATAGGCTGAGGCAGACATCCTGTCCAGCATGACTCAGCAAGTTTGGAGTGCAGGCACACAACTCTGCACATTACGTAACCATGTCACATGAGGATCATTAGGTGATCACCCATGTGAGCTTGTGCTTGGCTTGGAGCCACTAAGGTCTGTAAAAGGTATAATTACCCTGCCAATGCTGTACATACAACTTGGCTTGCAACCAGGCTCAGCTCGTGCCTGGACTTGCTTGCATTCAGGCTTGCTCTTGCCCAGAGAGAGAGTAAAGCAATGTCAAAACTGTCTACGATTCCTTGAGTGTTTTTCTAACTACCGCCACTCACCCACTGGCTCCTCTTGGACCTCAGTTAGAACTTGACAGGAGTCCAGGAAGTCTGAAATGTGCAAGGCAGGCCTACAAGCTGGAGGTCCTGGGAAGAAATGATGTTGCGGTCTTGAGTCTAAAGACAACCTGGAGGTAGAATTCCTTCTTTTTGTGGGGGACCTCATTTTTTTTTTCTCTTAAGGCCTCCGATTGATTGGAAAAAGCCCACCCACACTATGGAAGGCATTATGCCTTACTCAAGAGTTCTGGGCTTTGCAGCTTCTTCTAGGCTGGTATTTGACAAAAACAAACAAACCAACCTAGATACCATGGTCTAGCCAGTTGATATATAAAGTTAACCATCACGTTGTTTTTTCTGATTCCAACTTCTGAATCATCCTTCCTTTTCCAAAGAAAATTCGGATTGCAAATGAATGGTCTTCTGGGGCTGAGAGTCCAAGACTTCTGTTTACTCCATGTTTTATATTGTTTTATACTGTCTGTGTCCTTTTGGGGTAAAGCTTTGTCTCTTCTTCTTCCTCCACCTCATCATATAAAAGCTAACTATTAAAAATCTGTACCATTCTAGGTGTGCTACTTGAATTAACTCATTTAATCCTCACAACAGCCCTATGAGGTAGGTATAATGATTATCTCTTCTCTTTCAGGCAGAAAATGAAGCAAATGGGAAATAACTTGCACAAAATTGCATAGCTTACTCAGCAGGATTGGGATTCTAACAGGCATTTTGTCCATAGACTTGCAGCAACTATACATAGCATTGGACGTATTGGAGCATATGCTTCCTTTGGCGGACTGACTCACCTTCTCTTTATCAACAGGGACAGTGCACTTCCAATAATTTGTTAAAATGTAATGAACATGTTGGAGGCAATTGTCTTGGTTATAAAAACAGACATCTGTCAACTTTAGTTAGAGCCTCTGGAAATGTCATCAAAGAACAAGCCTGACCATAGATTGTCTTGATAGAAGAAATCCAGGGGAGGAAATTGGCCCTAAATACCCTAATATGTGGAACCCACAGGTGGAACAGGGCAGGATCTTCTCATTTTATTATTTCTTTATGTTCTTTGAAGAAAAGAGAAAAGGCTGTAGCAGTGGGCATTCATTGTTTAATTACAGTACTTCTCACAGCCAAATAATTGGCCATGCTCCTGCATTTTCAATAAGTTGCAAATATATATCTATATCTATACCTGTCTATCTTCTATCTATCTGTATAGCTGTAATATTATATATATATATATATATATATATAAAACAGAACATGAAGAAGAAAGTAGTGAGACACAATGTAAAACTGGGTTTTTATTTTTGAACTTTGTCTTTTTCTCCTTTCTGTTCCCTTCCTCCTTCCCTTTTGGTTTCTCTATCTTGCCTTTTTTACCTATTTCCTTCTATCTTTCTTTTAAAAAAAATTCTGGAAAAAAAAACCTGTATATATGTTTGCCTCCCTCTCTTTTCCAACAAATTGGTCCTTAAAAATCAAGAAGTCAAGAAGGAAAAAGGAGACAAGGCAAGTGAGGGAGGTGACCTCTATGCCATGGAAAGTCATGAAGGTCTTCAAAAGCTGTCCCAGATTCCAGAGGACATTCTCCCTGGCCTCCCCTGCCCTGCCTGAAGTCAGAGCAGATGCCTCTGCTGGCCGGCCATCTGTTTGGAAATGTGCAAGATCATCTTACAGTTTCCATGTGAGGTCTTTTGCCTGCTTCAACAGTGTGCCAGACTGGGGATCTGAAAATCTAGTGTCCAATAGGGATCTGCCATCATCCATAGCTCTCTTGTTTGTTCCCTTTGCTCTTCCTGGAGTCTACTTTTAATAGAATTCACACATTGTATGTAATTGCCTCACTCCTACAATTCAGCCTCTGGGAGAAGGGGCAGTGGAAACCAGAGAGCAAGAAAAATGCTAGATCAAAGATACTAGAAAAAATATTATTTTAACGAGGTACAAGTCTGGGCCAGGAATCAACAATGCAATAACCCCTTCCAGGAGGCACCTCCTCCTAAAATCTTCCCTTATCCTCAGCATTGCTTTTGTCTAGTCCCCTTACTTGCACTAAAGATTGAGCCAGAATATATCTGTGACATTTACCGTGGAACTCTCCTGAGGTCCCCCATTTCAAAACATTTGAAATAAGCTGTCCTGGAACACTTGGTGAAAGAGCGATCAAATACCACCCTGCATGCTCCTGATTAATTATCTTGTTAGGAACACACTGTAGCACACTGCATCTAAATGCAAATTTTTGTATTTGAGATTTTTATTAAATTTGATCAGTCAAATGATTGCTTCTTTATACTGAAAAGGGTTAGGACTGATTAACTGTAGAAGCTCAAATGATCCACAAGGAGACAACCATCTTCTTGCTTAATTTAAAATAGACCCCCTTGCCTCAATTGAGGAAGTAGAAGATAAATAGTACTTTGAGGAGCAAACTGCAATAAGACAATAACACAGCAGTGCAGGGCAACTTACCCCAAGACTAGTGATAATTGAGTAGGAGTGCTAACCATTATATTGGTGATTTTCAAATTCGGGGGCCATATTTTGCAGCATTACACACACACACACACACACACACACACACACACTGTGCATTTAACATTTTATGAGTCTATACTTTTCCATATGATTGTACTTTATTTATTTTCCATTCTACCCTGCTTTACTTTATTCTTTGTTTTTAATGTTTAAATGCTGGTTGCAAGCCAGTTAAACCTCTATAAGCAAACTTGATCTTCCATTGAAGAAAAACAGAAAGAAAAGAAAATTCCATTAGATGCTGCTCTTGCTCATGGCATTTCTAAGCTTCATTAAAACCCCAAATGAATGATGGAAACAGTGCTCCTAAACAATACCTCCAGCCCGAAGTGCTCGTTATAAAGGGTCAGCCTAAAATCAGATAAAGTAGCAGGGCTGAGAACAGCAACACAACTGTGCAGAAGAATTTGCTAAAGACGGCAGGCTTGGCAGCAGAAAGTATTCCCTGGCGTGTGGCATTATGTTTAAAATGATGCCAGCTTCCAAGGGCATTTTACATTCCAAAATGTAAGTGCTGGCTGTGCTTAAATGGTTTTCCAGCACTGCTCCCCTTCCCATCCCCCCTGCTCAGACCCTTAGACCACTGGGTGTCTGGGAGGTGAGATGGCCTCAAGTCCAAGGCTAGCCATGGCTATCATTTTTCTCACTGCCTTCCAGACTGAGTTAGTCATCATTACCTTTCATGGCATCCTTTTATGGTGGACAGATCTGTTTTACAGATTCTGGCTTGTCAGTCACCATGCATCCTTGTCAAGAGTAGTTCTCAGTTAATCTGGAGGCCAACACATTAATGTCCAACATTCTATTTTGATGGTGGAAAAAGCATTGATTTAATGTCTTCTCTTTGGAACACAATGGCAGACACATTATTTAATTTAAGACTAATAACCCCATAAAAATGGTAATTAATCCTATTTATATGAAAATTATCTTCAGGAAGGTTGAGCTAAATTTTCCAAAGCTCTGCAGCCAGTGGGTGGTGGGGATGAAAATACAATCCTGCCTGGGTCCCCCGAGCATGCTCTTCCTAATATGCATATAGACAGTATAGTTTCGCTTTGAACCAGAGTACATCAACTGGAACTTTCACAAAGAAAAAACTACTTTTAGCCAACACAGTGGCTCATGCCTGTAATTCCAGCACTTTGGGAGGCCAAGGCAGGATGATCACTTGAACTTAGCAGTTTGAGGCTGCAATGAGCCATGATCGTGCAAATGCACTACAGCCTGCATGACAGAGTGAGACCCTCCTTCTAAAAAAAAGAAAAAAGTAACAGACAAACAACTCTTGATCCTGTACTTCCACACTCAAAATTTCCCTATATATCCAAAAACCCTAAGAAGGCATCTGAGATTGAATGAAAGCTGAGTTGGAGATCATGAGACTGAGTTCCTAGATCACTTCACGGGTCAGACAAGATATTTTCCTTGAAACGTGAGCGAAGAGATGAAAAGAGGGGAGTGAAAGGAAGTAGAACTGGAGAGAGAGGCATTTAATTAGATACACCACTCAAGGAGAAAAAAAATGTAAGATATGTACTCTCAGACTACAGGGGCTGCAATGGAAAAGATTTGATTAAAAATCTATTGTTCACTTCATTTTCTGTCCTCTTCTCTGAGATCATTATTCGCAGCGCCTTTACACTTTAACAGATTTGGACTTAGTTCCTGATTAGTTTAGACATGACCTCTTTTCAGAGGCCTAATCCTTCTAAAGCTTTCTGTCAAATCAATTTGACGTTTTTATGATTGTTACTTAATGTTTTTGTGTAAGGAAGTTACCTATTTATAATTGAAAACAAGGAGAAACAGTTTTATTGTGGTTTGGGAAATGCTCCCTAGAAGAGGAGCCCTCTGCCAGGTGCTAATTGCATTCCTATTGTATTTTGGCTTCATGCTTCCCACACTAGGGAGAGGAAGAGTGTTTTGGGGGAGGGGGGAGATTTCAAGATAATTGAACAAGGTGAAAATGAATGCTCATTAAATTGCAGAATACAGGAGGACTCATTTCATATGAGAGGGCTGTAAATATGACTTTTAATGAAGTTATGACATGGTTGCCAATAAAAGTCATTTACTCTGCAGTATTACAGTTAATTATACACAGCTGGAGCCATTTATGGCCTGTCCCTTGTTAACTTTGCCTTCACTGCAGATTAACACTTTCAGCACAGGATCAGCAGGAAGCAGGCAGTTTTACACCCAAAGAAAACATGAAATAAATGTCCTATATGACTCAGAATAATCATGACTAGCTGCAGGAGAACACGCCCACCTGACCCTCCCCTTGGCTGGCCCTTCCTTCCAAGAGCACGTTGGAAGGTGAGATGCAAATAGAGAAGAGAGAAGGAGAAAGAGAGATGTGCTTTTTTCTTTTTGAAAAAAAAGTGAACACTTCTCTTGATTTGTGGGAAAATTTATAGACATAACCATTTTATTACTAGTTTTAGGAGCATTTTATTAAATACATGTCACATGTACTGATAGCAGTGTAACTAAAATACTAAAATAAAGCCATCAAGAAAGAGTGAAACTGACATGTTGTCCTTAGCAGCTTAACCCTGTTGACAAAGAGCCTGTTTACAAAGAGCCTGTTCCACAGCTTGGCTGGAAGAGATTTCTGTTTCTGAACATCTCGCATTCTGAGAAGGGTCGTAATCATAGGAGCCTGTAGGAGAATAGTAGTTACAAATAAGCAAGGCATCCCGGTTGGTTGTACCAGGAGCCAGAATAAAAGCACATCCTAAAGCCTTGTTTCCCGAATACACCATGAACAGCAGAAAGATCCTAGTTTTTATTTATTAAGATAATTTCAACTATAGATGCAGCTTTCTACCTTCATTCTTGGAGTCTCGCTGTTGTGAAAAACTAGAGCAATGCCATGCATTATTTTTTTATTATGGGGTGGGAATAGGGGAGGACCTTACTCTGTGACCAGAACTGTCATAAGGTTTTGGCTTGGGTTTTGATTTGTGATAACAGTTTTCTGTCCATGAGTATTCAGCTGTCCAAGTCACCCAGGTGTGGTGCTGGTATCTTCGTGGGGCCACTCTAATTGGTGGTCTGAATGAGCTGTCATGGACAGTAACATCAGAATCTCGCTGAGTTCATTTCTGGATTATTTCTGGTTCACAACTGTGTGGTTGTCTGGTTTATCTCTGGTTTGTGACTGATCTGAATTATTTCTGTCCTTAATTAGTGGCCAACTGTTTTCTGTCCACCAGTGTTAAGTGCTAAGAGGTTGATTCCGTGTTCTATGTCTGCAGGATTTCACAAAATTTCCATCTCCTCTGGCCTTCCTCTGCTTTTCACAACTGTTTCAAGGGAGCAGCTATTTTATGAGACCACAGCCCAGTCTAAACATTTGGTGGAGAAAATCTCTCCAAGTCACATCATACATCATTGATCTTTTTCTTGGGAGAATGGGGGAACATAGGAAGCACTTTCAAATGGCTTGTCTCAAATTATCTTGTCTATGGAGGGGTTGCTTGTGTTGGGATGCAGAAAAGAATACTGCAAAGTGAAGGCCTCAGAGGCAAAAGTTTTTCTCTCACTTCCTTATACCCTCTTGTCTCTCAGGTCCTATTTTCCCCCAAGGCTACCCATAGAACCTAGTATCCCTCTTCCCCAAGGTGAGTGAGTCATAGAAACCAGAATTCCTTTACTTCAAAGCCAATCATAAAACCTAAAACCATTTCTTTAACTTTTCCCTCATCTTTCTGTGTAAAAACTGGCTATAAAGAAATTATCTGACCTACCTTGTTTGACAGTAGGCATAAGAATCCCATTCCATATAAATGGTTCTATTTCAAAGATACATGCACATATATGTTCACTGCAGCATTATTTACAATAGCAGAGGTCATATAATCAACCTAAATGCCCATCAATGATAGACTGGATAAAGAAAAATGTGATACATATACACCATGGAATACTATGCAGCCATAAAAAGGAATCAGATCATATCCTTTGTAGGGATATGGATGGAGTTGGAAGCCATTATTCCCAACAGGCTAACACAGGAACAGAAAACCAAACACTGTAAGTATGTTCTCACTTATAAGTGGAAGCTGACTGATGTGAACACATGGACATGTGTGGGGAGGGGGTACGAAAACACATTGGGCACCTATGGCGGAATGGGGAGAGGGAGATCATCAGGAAGAATAGCTAATGAATGCTGGTGATGGGACGATCTGCACAGTAAATCACCAAGGCACATGTTTACCTGTGTAACAAACCTGCATATTCTGCACATGTACTCCTGAACTTAAAATAAAAGTTGTATAAAAAAAGAACCCCATTCCAGAGGGGCTCCTGCCCCACATCCAGAAAGAAGGAGTGCTGTTCAGAGAGGCCAAGAAGAATCTAGACAGACAGGCCTTGCTATGTTTCCTCCTGCGGTCTATCACCATTAGATCACACCCTTTTTGCACAATCATATTTCTACATGGCTGTCCAAATGTTGTTAAACCTAAGCCCATAAATGGACAATTTCCCGTGCATCTTTGAGTCTTCATTCTGAAGGCTCCAGGATATTCACATTAAATAAATTTGCATGCCTTTTCTCCAATTAATCTGCTTTTTGTGAGCTGAGTTTTCAGCGAATCCCCAGCACTTGCATACCATCCTCTGTATACTGGCTTTTGTAAAAGCGGATTTTTCTGATGCTGTCCTGTGTGTGTCTGTAAGAAAAACCTCCTCACCCTTTACAGAGGGAATAGAATTACAATGAATGTTCTGTTTCTAATTATAACCCCTCTCCATTTGTAGCTAGATTTTTTTAAGGGGCATGTTTAGACAGTTGCTGATCATGAGAATCTGTCATATTTCCACACCTAAAGACAAACACACACATCTTCCATTAAAGGGGAGAAAGCATAGGAAAATATTTTTTACAAACTGAAACAGTTTGGCATGGTTTGCAGAGCACAGGGCCTGGCTTGGCTTGTCTATCAGGCTGTGGATAAACCCAAAGGATGATGGAATGGGAATGCAGATGGAATTCACAGGGTTTATCTGGAGTCTGAAGACATCTTATTGATGAACACCTTCCTAAGAAATTGAATGACATCTATATAACCTGGCCTTTTCTTGATTTTCTCTTGAAAGATATTAAGAGTTACCCCCTCTGAGAATAAACTAGAAATCTCTACCTTAGTAGTTTGGCACCCAGACAAAGATCCCTACGTGAGGTTCAAACCCCCAATATTTCCCACTTGTCCAAGATTTTGATAAGATTAGTCTGATGCATAATTTAAAATGTTTCTGAGCATAGCTCTAGCATACCTTTGTCTAACTCTGAAGGATATTAACATGTTAGAATACAGCATCTTAAATTTAAAGAAGAGAAGGAAGAAATTGAATCGTTAATGCTTTAAGTGCACTGGCCTTTTAAGAAAAATTTCCCTACCAGCTCAGGAAAAGTCAAGCTGTGCTGGCAATGAAAGATTACTAGATAAGAAACAAAGAAATGCAAATGGTATCAGCCAGCAACAAATGGCCATAAAAATGCACTAATGAAAGCTTCTAATACACATAAAATTAATAAATGTGGTATTATTATAAAGTCCTAGTTTATGTAATATACCTATGAATTGAGGTAAATCCCTTGATAAATTAGGTGGGTTTGATAACTTTGTCTTAAAATTTAGCAACGTGTTTTCTAATTTTATCACAATGAGGAATAAAATATAAATTTAGCATTTTATATAAGATTGGGTATTTTTTATAGAAAGTAACTTTATCTTTCACTTTCTAAATTTCCAAGTCTGTTTTGAAGTCAGATAAATTATCATTGTTTCCATACAGTATTCAGGGTTATGAGAATGTACACATATGTAACTACTTGAATTATAATTACTGTCTTCTTAAAGATTGGTTTTTGTGGACTTTAGACAATTCTGCAAATCATCTGGGATTGTTTTTTTCTACTTGCACTGTCTGAGTAAAAATTTAAATGTCACCTCTCTGATGAAATGTTCTTGTCTGTATACAACAATTTTGTGCTTTATAAAGCTTCAATTAAGATGGTGAGTTCAGTGTGGTAAAGCCATTCTCTGATTAGGTTAATATCTATTGAAGCTAAAATTAAAGGCCTTAAATTTTTCTTATAAATATATATTTGTGTAAAGGAATATTGAAATTATTAAACAAAGCTTATAACCAATTGAAAATTCATCTTGTAGTATTCGGTCAGATATTAACATAGCTAATAAAAATCATCAATTACATATCATGGAATCTACTCGTCCCCTAATATACTCACATTCGAAAGCCTTCTAATATTTGTGTGTCATTTTAAATTTATTTTTGTTTTTAATTTTAGAGACAGGATCTCCCTCTGTTGCCTAGGCTAGAGTGCAGTGGCTTGGTCATAGCTCACTGCAACCTCAAACTCCTGGGCTCAAGTGATCTTCCCACCTCAGCCTCCTGAGTAGCTGGGGCTACAGGTTCACCACCATACCCAGCTAATTTTTAACTTTTTTGTAGAGATGATGTCTCACCATGTTGCTAAAGCTGGTCTCGAACTCCTGGCCTCAAGCACCCCTCTTCCCTTGGCCTCCCAAAATGCTGAGATTACAGGCATAAGACACCGTGCCTGGCCTGTGTGTCTTTTTGATGATCTTTATCAAACTCAGAATTTTTTATTAAGGTATAATTTACATACACAAAATATGGAACATTTTGAAATGTATAGTTTGATAAATTTTGACAAATATATACAACTGTGCAATCATTACCACAGTCAAGATGAAAATGTCGATGATTTCCAGATGGTTCCTTGTGCCCCTTTGCAGTAATTCTCCTTACCACCCTGGTACTAGAAAACCACTGATCGGTTGTTGCCACTGTAGGTTTGATTAGTCTGTTACAAAATTTTATATACTTGGGTTTATATAGTATGTAGCCTTTTGTGCCTGGCTTCTGTTGCACGGCATAATGGTTTTGAGATTCATTTGCACTACATTTTGGGGCTATTTTGATTGAAGCTGCTATGGATATTTACATGCAAGTCTTTTGGAGGGCATGTATTTTTAATTTTTCTAGGAATGGGATACTGCATCCTAAGTATGTGATTAAATTTATGGAAAACTGCTAAACTCATTACCAAAATGATCATTTTTAAAAATAAAAGTTCCTCATTTCCAAAACAACTAAAGTTTCTTATAATTAGGAGAGTAATTTATTCTAGGTTTATATGAAAATCTTTCCTTTCTGATTAAATAAATTAATCAAAACAGCAATCATTTCTTATCTTCAGGTATCTATAACTTATGACCATTTCTCAACATAATGATGGTTGTCTTCTGACAACTCATTTACATATATATATTCAATTTCTATTCATTTCAATATATATATTCAATTTCTTAATAAAGGCCTATCTTTTTTTTTTTTTTTTTTTTTTTTTGTGACAGAGTCTCGCTCTGTCGCCCAGGCTGCAAGCTCTGCCTCCCGGGTTCATGCCATTCTCCTGTCTCAGTCACCCGAGTAGCTGGGACTACAGGCACTGGCCACCATGCCCGGCTAACTTTTTTGGATTTTTATTAGGGACGGGGTTTCACTGTGTTAGCCAGGATGGTCTTGATCTCCTGATCTCGTGATCCACCTGCCTCGGCCCCCCCAAAGTGCTGGGATTACAGGCGGGATTACACTGCATCCGGCCAGGCCTATCATTTTTATAATTCTTTTCCCAAATTTAGGTCCCAAATTTAGAATAACAAAAACATTAAGCTACCTTCTAGAACTGAAGGATCACTTCCTCAAGGGCCTCTGGGTGACCCCAAGATACACTCTCTCAACCCATAAAACAAAAGGATGCTAAAAATAACTAGGATCCTATGTATTCACTATATAGTTATAAATTTTTAATTAAACTTTATTTTTAGAGTAGTTTTAGGTTCACAGGAAAATTGAGTGACAAGTACCCATATTTCCCATATATCCCCTGCCCCAACACTTGCACAGCCTCCCCCATTATCAACATCCCTCACAACAGTGGTGCATTTTTACAATTATGAATGTACTTTGATATATAATTATCATTCAAAGTCCATCATTGGCATTAGGGTTCACCCTTGGTGTTGCACGTTCTGTGGGTTTGGATAAGCATATAATGACATTCATTGCCATTATGGCATCTTATAAAGTAGTTTCCCTGCTCTCAAAGTCCTCTATGCTCTGCCTGTTTGTCTTCACTCTATTTTTAATTAACTCAACACTATATTGAAAGCTGTCCTATTTATCAAGATCAAAATATGGAAAGAGCTATCTAATCAAAAAGAGCAGCTAAATCTTACCTAGATGAATTATGTATAGGTAAAATGTTAATATGAATAAGTTTCAACCACTGTTTACCTTACATGATAGATAAAAACCTACTTGGCTTCATGGGCAAAGATGGGCACAAGAATTTCAACAGATTGAATTCTAAGAAATTTTATTCATAGGTTTGAAATGCCCTTACCAATGGGTAACTATTTTAACACATACTTTTCTGGATGGGTTGGAGGGGCCTGGAAATGTGTTAATATCATTGCTTTTCATGATACGTTCTTCCCATCAGGATAATCATTGTGTAAAGCATAAAGTAGTTATGTGTTATATTCCAATAGTGGTTCTGCTTTCCCTCATTTTAATATTGCTGGTTACTGTGATAAGTTAATCACAACTGTTTGGTCTTAGTGTCAATAGGTGGTTCCTGGTTTTTCTACCACAGTTGCCTAAAGGGCTCTGTTACAAATTTCAGGTTGTAGGAGCCAAGAGGAAAGGTCTCATTGTCTCTCTGAAGATTCGCTGAAAAATCAATTTGCAAAAGACAGATCTGTTGGAGAAAAGGCATACACATTTATTTAACATGTATACAAGGAAGCCTTCAGAATGAAGGCCCAAAGATGCAAGGGGAAACTGTCCATTTTTATGCTTAAGGTGAAAAAAGTATGGACAGCCGTATAGAAATATGACTGGACAAAAAGGATATGAGCTAATGCTGATAGACGGAGTGGGGACACACAGCAAGTTCTTGCTGTCTAGATTCTTCTTGGCCTCTCTCAGCAGCACTCCTTCCTCCTGGGTGTGGGACAAGACCCTCTCTTGGCATGGGGGTCGTATGACCTAAGTCCAATCAGGGAGGTCAGATAATTTCTTTATGGTCAGTTTTTACACAGAAATGTATGGGGAAAGTTAGAGTCATAATTTTAGGTTTTATGTCGCTTTGGAGGAAAGAAGTCCTGGTTTCTAGGACCAACTTTGCGGAGGAGGGATTCCAGGTTCTATTGCTAGTCTTGGGGGAGAATGGAACTGAGAGACAAGAGAGGAGGGGAAAGTCAGAGAGAAAATTTTACTTCTGAGGCTGCTTCTGAGGCCTTCATTTTGGGGTATTGTTTTCTGGATCCCAACAAGGTCACAAATTGAATCTTATGAAAGAAACATAAAATAATAATTTCTGCAAAACCATGTATTAGAGATATTCTTGATATTCAGAATAGACCAGCTACTCATGAGGCTTCAGGACAGGGCCATGGGCACATGATCCCTAGGATGAGCTAGCAATACAGATGTGGCAGCTCTGACTGCGTTTCTCCATCTGTTCAGTGCCTGCTGAGCTGCTGAACTTCCAACCTTTGGGTGCAGGTGGCACAGGCCGAGAGGCTGCTTTCAAGAGTAATATGGGCACATTTATGGAACCGTTTCAACAACAGATTCCCCAACTCAATTTTAGTGCTACTCTTAATGCACCTTTGCTTCGTCCCTCTAATCTGATTAAAGAAATGGCTGCTTGGGAAGGTGTCACCACCTATGTTTCGGGTGATGAGAAGATATACTGAAGGAGGGAAGAGTATGGAAGAAGTTAAAAAAAAAAAAAACTTGCCTGGAATAAACATCAATCTCATCTCAGCAATGCATTTAATGACAACCAGATGTGCCAACTTTTTTTGTTCTGCTAGATTATGTCCCTTGCTAACTGACAGAGTGGGCACAGAATTCACAAAACTGAGACCTGCTGCCTGGGATGCCAGAGCTTCCTCTCAACAGCTGTTACTCTGTAGTTACAGAAACAATGGTGACTCTGCTTAGGAATCCATGGTCAATTTCTTGGGCAGACCTCTTCAGGTCCTTCAAGCCAGTCCTGACCTCTTTAATCTCTTTCCTATCCCCACCAAGATTTTCTGAAGAAATTAAAATATACCTAGTTCTTTAACTTAGGAGAAGAATCATTTTTCACAGAGCTACACCATGTAGAAAGCAGCTGGGTGAAAAATGCTGTTTAACACTTTACCCAATATACAAAAAGGGAAGGAGGCTTTTCCCTGCTCAGACTTTGAGAAAAAGGTTGTCCCATGTGGGCATCTGCAACAGAAGCAGTCAGTACAATGACACTCTGATCTCCTCTTCTGGGCCTCCCTTCCCCATTCACCTACCTGTTTTTTCTTAGGAATGCATTGTGATAAATCACTTTCAAGTTACTACAACATCCTCCTCTCCCAGAACCTGAGAGGTCCGCAGAACCTCAGAGACTTCAGACTTAAGAGTTATGATTTGCTGATCTGGTGCTTGCTAACAAACACCTAACTGGTTTCATGGAAGAAGTAAAACCCCTGGTTTGTTTATATCACTTGAGTGTGTTTGTGTGTGTTTTAATTTTGTTACTCACAATGGAACATAAATCCCCTGGTAAGGAGAGAAAACATTTGTCCAAATTTTGACCTGGGAACCCAGAGTCTAAAAAATTATATATTCTTGCTTTATCTCTGTCCATTGTTTAGATATACCATTGACTTCTCCATGTTTCGCTTTATGTTACAAAGATGAATAGACAGCGACATCAGCTCTGTTAAACTGAAAAAAAAAAAAGATTGCTACCTATGTGATGTGATAGTAGAATTTTTAAACTCCTTTGGTACACACATCCCAACACCCATCAGCAAATTGATTTTTATGCTTCATCAAACTATTCTGTTAAAATGCTATCATGGGACCTGGCATGGTGGGAGAATAGCTTGAGACCAGGAATTCCAGACCAGCCTGGGGCAACATAGCGAGACCCCCGTCTCTACAAAAATATTAAAAAATTAACTAAGCACGGTGGCATGTAGCTGGCTAATTTTTAGTCCTGTAGTCCTAGCTACTTGGAAGGCTGAGACAGGAGGTTTACTTGAGCCCAGGAGTTTAAGGTGACAGTGAGCTATGATTGTGCCACTGCACTCCAGCCTGAGGGACAGAACAAGACCCTGTCTCAAGAAACAAACAAACAGAAAAAACAACAAGATGCTATCATGTAAGGGGAAGTAATAGGATTTTATTTATTAGGCATTATTCCTTTGTGTAAAAACAGCTTTGATGTAGTTGTGTTTTGATGGTAAAGGAGGGAAAGAACAGGCACCAACTGGGGTCATTGAGGTAAAGCAGGAGGTGGCAATTTTATTCGACTCTGCACTGTACTTCCATCCAACATGCATCTTTATTTCTCATTTTTCACCAAACTCCGGATGCCAAGGCATGCATTGATCAAGACCACCCATTTCCACCTCCTCTGTTCATCTTTGCATATGTTTGTGAGGGTTGCTCCCTGCAACAATATCTGGTGTCTGGCAGTTAGGTGGCTTGCGTCCTCCAGGGTCAGATAAGGACATATCTTTCCCACAGTTGTTGATAATGGGGCCAAGGAAAGGCTAATTGTTGAAAGTTCTGTGAGTGTTCTTCCTGATGTGGAGGAGTTGGAGTGAATTATTGCGTGGACCCTGCACTCCGCAGGGGAGCCCCGGGTCCTCAAGGCGGGGAGTTTGATAAGCCGTCTGTTCTGAGGAGTTTGGATTAGTCCATCTGTTTCTGGTTTTCAGAAACCTGAGGTGAAGAAAATAAATAACAGAGAAAACAAAAATGAAAAATGCCCCCAGTTCCTGAATTGCATGCAGTAAGTCTGCTTGTTTTCTTAAATCACTTGATTCTTCCAGATGAACTAGCTCCTGCTGGATTTCCTGGAGAGAGAGAGAAAAGCAGCATCCAGATTTTACTTTCCAGGATTTTTAAATCTCTCAGAAATATGGCCCATTATTACATAAAAAGTGACATTTCCCATTATTTTGTCAAAGAAATAAGGATGTAAGGGTTATTATATAAGATTAATATATAAACTCCCTTTCTCCCTGTTACTTGCTTTGTAAAAGCCATTTACAAGTTTCCAGCCAAGGCCTATTTGCACTTCATTTTTCTGTAAGCAGAAGGATATAGCCATGAAATCAGATATTAAAGATGAGGTAATTATGGCATCCAAATTTCTAGAGTTAACTGTGGAAGAGGATTTATGCTTTGTGGCCTTGGTTCCAAAAAGTAAAATTAAGACTGGCCTATAGGTAGAAATTACAGGAAAGGAGATTTCAGAGCTTAGAGAATATTCCAATCAATCACCTGGTAAGTTTTAAGTGAAACAACTTGGATGACAGTAGGAGTCCATATGTGTTGGAGAGCAAAGAGGAAATGGAAGCTGGGCACAATGGTTCACATCTGTAATCCAAGCAATTTGGGAGGCCAGGTCAGGAGCATTGCTCGAGCCCAGTATTTTGAGACCAGTGTGGGCAACATAGTGAGACCCCCATCTCTACAAAAAATAAAAAAAAAATTAGTCAGGTGTGGTGGCACACACTTGCAGTCTCAGCTACTCAGGAGGCTGATGTTGGAGGATCTCTTGAGCTCAGCAGGTCAAGGCTGCAGTGAACTGTGGTTGTACCACTGCACTCCAGCATGGGTAACAGAGGAAGACCTGTCTCAAATGGAAATAAAAAAAATGGAAATGGAAGGATATGAGGAGGTGAGTAGGATTGCTGTGTAGAAGGTGCTGACTGGCTTGCATGTGGTTCACTCACTCTACAAGTCATTGCAATTTGTTTTCTATTCTCAGACATCTCTGAAACTAATATTTGCTAATGGTGAAGATGGTGTATGTGTTTATAGTTATTTTCCACATGAGTCAAGGCTAAGGCAGATATTTTACTGATTGCTTGCTTCTCTTTTACTGGTAAAATAATTTTTTCAAGCTTACCTTTTCTCTGAGGGTGAGAATTTCAGCTTTGTTCAGGGGTCTCTGTTCTAGATCCCATTCTAGCAGACACATAAGGCTCTGTCTTCTGTCTCCAGCCTGCCATTTAAATTTGAGGTTACAAATCCTCTGTATGGATTTTATACCCCATAGGTACCCCTTGCATTGGAATTAGCTTCCACTCTGGTTTAAAGTCTCTCTGATTTGTAGAATGAGTTGACAAATTACCTCTTACCTTCTATACTGGTTTTCTGTTGCTACTGTAACACATTACCATGAATTTAGTGCATTAAAACTATGCAAGTTTATGCAATTTTATTATCTTACAGTTCTGGAGGTCAGAAATTTGATCAATGTCTAAGTAGGCTAAAATGAAGGTGTCGGCAGGGCTGTGTCCCTTTCATAAAGCCTTGGTGGAGAACCAGTTTCCTCGCCTTTTTCAGCTTCTAGATGCGTGTGGCTCCTTTACTCCATTTCAAAACCAGCAACATGGCACCCTGGAAGCACTTTCATGGTCACTCCTTCCTCTGACTCTGATCTCAGTTGGGAAAGGTTCTCATCTTTTAAAGACTCATAATTAAATTGGGCGGAACACCTGGATAATCAAGATAATCTCCTCACCTAAAATCTTTAACCTTAATTACATCTGTAAAGTTCCTTTCTTTATGTAAGGTAACATATTCACACACTCCTGGCATTAGGATGTGGACATGGGATGTAGGGGGAAGAATGTGTATATTCTGTCTACCGCAGGTTCCTACTAATCCTACTATGGTTTGATATGCTTTTCTAGAAGGATATGGGGTTTAAAGACATTTTACAGCTCTATAAGCCAATCATCCACAAAAGAGCTACAGCTCTTAGAACATTATTATAGAAGGAGATTTTAGAGTACAGTGAGTTCATTTTGACTTTTCATGTAATTGTCATATTTCTGTTTCTGTATTAATCTTCCCTTTAAAAAAGCCACTTCCTGGGTCAGTCTAGATCTCTGTAGTAAATACCCTACTTACAACGGTCTTGTCTAAGCAAATTTATGCATCTAAATTTATTTACTTTCAATCTAATGTACATGTGCTGCATTTCTTAACTTTGAAAGAGCCTGTCTATTTTCCCTGGCATTTTAAAATTCTGATATGCTGCATACGAAACCAATGTTTTGGCCAATTTTTTTTACGTATAAATTTAAGGGGTGCAAGTGCAGTTTTGTTACCTGGATATATTGTGTGGCGGTGAAGTGTGGACTTTTAGTGTATCCATCACCCAAATAATGCACATCGTATCCATTAAATAATTTCTTGTTCCTTACCCCAGACTTTGAGACTCTGATGTTTGTCCTCCCATACTTTATGTCCATGTGTATACATGCTTTAGCTTTCATAAGTGAGAACATACGGTATTTGACTGTTGGTTTCTGCATCGTTTCACTCAGGATGATGGCTCCAGTTCCATTCATGTTGTTGCAAAAGACATGATTTCATTCATTTTATGGCTGAATAGTTTTCCATTGTGTAAATGTACCACATTTTCTTTATCAAGTCATCCTTTGATAGCCACTTAGCTTGATTCTGTATCTTTGCTATTGTGAACAGTGCTGTGAAAAACATACAAGTGCAGATATTACTTTTATATAATTTTTGGGAGGTAGATACACAGTAGTGGAATTCCTGAATAAAATGCTAGTTCTGTTTTTAGTTCTTTGAGAAATCTCCATTCTATTTTCCATAGCAGTTACACTAACCTACATTACTACCAACAATATATAAGTGCTCCCTTTTCTCTATATCCTTGCCAACATCTGTTTGTTTGTTTGTTTTGACTTTTTAATAATGGCCATTCTGACTGGTATAAGATGATATCCCACAGTGGTTTTAATGTGCATTTCTCTGATTATTAGTGATGTTGAACTTTTTTGATATATTTGTTGGCCATTGTATGTCTTCTTTTGAAAAATGTCTGTTCATGTCTTTTGCCACTTTTTAATGGGACTACTTATGGGTTTTTAATTGTTGTGTTGTTTGAGTTCCATGTAAATTGTGGATATCAGTCCCCTGTTGGATGCATAGTCATGAATTCTTTGCCTAGACCCATGTCCAGAAGAGTTTTCTTCTAGTATTTTTATAGTTTAAGGTCTTACATTCAAGTCTTTAATCCATCCTGAGTTTATCTTTTACATGGTGAGAGATAGGGGTCCAGTTTTATTCTTCTGCATATAGATAACCAATTTTTTCAGCACCACTTACTGAAAAGAGTGTCCTTCCCCAGTGTATGTTTTTATTGACTTTCCAAAAATCATTTGGCTTTAGATTTATGGCTTTATTTCTGAGTTCTTTATTCTGTTCTATTAGTCTATGTGTCTGTTTTTGTACCAGTACCATGACATTTTGGTTACTATGGTCTTATAGTATAATTTCAAATCAGGAAATGTGGTATCTCCAGCTTTGTTCTTTTTCACATAGGATTTCTTTGGCTGTTTCCTCTCTTTTTTGGTTCCGTATGACTTTTAGGATTTTTTTTTCTAATTCTGTGAAACATGACATTGGTATTTTGATAGAGATTGCACTGAATCTGTAGATTGCCATGGGCAGTATGGTCATTCTAACAATGTTAATTCTTCTGATTCATGAGCATGGGATGTTTTTCCAATTGTTTGTATCATTTACAATTGCTTTCATTAGTGTTTTGCATTTTTTCTTGTGGAGTTTTTTCACTTCTTTGATTAAATTTCTTCCTCGGTATTTTATTTTATTTCATTTTTGTTGTTATTGTAAGTGGGACTGCTTTACTGATTTAGTTCTTTACTTGATAATTATTGGTATATAAAAACACTACTAATTTTTGTATGTTGAATTCGTATCCTGAAACATTACTAAATTCATTTTTCAAGTCTAAGAGTTTTTTGGTAGAGTCTTTGAGGTTTTCTGGATAGATATAAGATCACCTCATCAGTGAACAGAGATAATTTGACTTCTTCTTTTCCAATTTGTATGCCTTTTATTTTTTTCCCTTATGTTTTGGCCAAAAATTATCTTCAGGTGATTTCTAAATTTGAGAAGAAATATGTCGTGGAAAGGACACCACCAGTCTGGCTGTTGAAGAGACAAGTATTCTATTCTTCTCCCGCCACTAACGAAGTAGGGGACATTGAATTCATCATTTCATTTCATTGGATTTCAGTGTTCTAATGGGTGAAAAGAAGGGATCGGACTAGACAACCTCAAAGGTCACTTCTACTCCAGAAGGAGCACTCACAAGGGAATTCCAGATTCATTACTTTTTGCTTTGGAGAAACAATTCTTTATTTTGGAGGACTAAAACACGAGAAGATCTATTCTCAGCCATACCTGAAATTCCCTTCCTCTGTTCCGGTACACATTTCTGTTTTGATAAGCACATCATTTCCATCCTTTAAGATGAGAGTTGAACAACCTTAAGGACTTAAGGTCTTTTATGTTAGTTTCTCCCTACTTTTCTGCCTCAACTGCCTGTCCTTCTACAAACACACTTATTCGCCAGCCTCACTGAAATACTTAGAGGTTCCAGGGTACAGGGTCTCAAACAATTCTGGACAGTGGCAATGTTATCTGTAAGAAGCAGATCTTAAATGACTTCCTGGGCAACCAAAGTCAACCCAGAAGGGCAGAGAATAAAAAAGCAGTTCTTAGTAATTCTGAGTGTGAGAGATTTTGTGGGAGTCAGAGGTTTGACATTAAATGGGTGGTAAGAACTAGATCCAGTGAAGTTTGAGTTTTTACTATAATAATAATTCTGGGGAACCTCAGGTTACTTTAATAACAGAACTATCTACAAATCTAGGGCACAGTCCTAACTTACTTGTATGAATTATACTGTATTAGACCTTAAGCTATTTTGAATTTCTCTTTTTTGTTTCACTTCTCCACTTTCTGCCAACCCCCTAACACAGAAAACTCACATTCTTAGGCATAACAAGGGTTTAGAAATATACATCAAATAAGCCTTACTCATAGGATGGAATTATAAAGTAAATTTAATTTGCCCTTCAATGTCCATTTAAATTTAGTCAAGAGGGCAACTCCCAATGAAAATATGTGTAATTTTATGGGTTTTCTGAGTTTGCTCAGAAAATACAGATTTTTGACATCTATATTTTCAAATCACAGTCACTTGGTCTTAAAACTTAGATTTTGGTTGTTTTACAAATTAGGCTGTCTACTCTCATAGGATAATTAACAATTCAATCCATTCAAAGCCAGGATTTTTCCCTTCTTCTCACTCTAGGGCCTGTATCAGGAAGAAAGCCTGTAGCCAGGGAAGGAAGGTGAGGACAGAATCTTCTGTCTGTCTCACATTCTCTCACACTCACTAGCTGCTATGTTCCACTAGTGCTGAAATAGGAGTTAAGGGGGTGGGAGGAGCCAGAACTTGAGTTTTAGATTTTCCAGGCAGCCATTCGACACCATGAACTACTAAGCTTTCTGAGAGGTCTGAGTTGAAGGCCTTACGTGCTGACTTGAATTGAGGGAAATAACTTATTTTCCTTCTCCGTGTGGGGTAAGTAGACAACAATAAACCCTCAGCTACCTCCAAATACTCTCTTCCCCATTTCCTTCTTTTGATGTAGGGTGTAGATCTTTTCTACACCTGCATGTTGGTAATAGATATCAGAATCATTCAACTATTCTCTGCTACCTGCAACTTTCCATTTCTACAGTGGGGTCTGTCTTGCAACTCACTGTGATACCTGATCTTTTCACCTAAGGGTCAAAAATGAAACACCCATTTTCATAGTCTGTTGCAGAACATAAGAGAAAGTTTGTAGAGAAGGAAGCCACTGGTAATTGTAGGTTTCAGTCTGTGGAATCACCAGGTCACCCAAGGATAGAAGTCCCTTAATCCTTTGAAGACCATTTCTTGACCAAATGTAATGCTTACCTTTGCTCCCCTCCAGTCCTCCTCTCCTTTCTTCACTGTTATCTGCCTATGCATCTAAATTGAATTATTAACTGTTGTTGGTGCTCCAGCCAACTGTATCTATTTAATTCAAGATAAAGTTTAGTTTGAGAACAAATGGACAAAAAGTCCCAAAGCACCCATTACTGGGCAGGGTAGGGGACCCCTGAGTGTTGGACGCACAAGACCTGCCTGTTCCAAACAACCTCGGGAATTTGCTCTCTGCTTCCTGGGAGCTCACTAATATGAGACTTTTATGGTGGCAATAAAGAGCCTAAAACTACCTCATAAGCCTCTCTGTCAGACAACAAATCCCTTAGCACTTCTTCTAATTAACTTCTAACCTTCCGGCCATGGGAATTTTTTTCTCCTTTAACTGCTAATGAAGTCTAGAATCTCAAAGTCTCCCCTGATTTTACTAGAGCTTTTCTAGTCGTTAATTATGAGCCCTGTGTTTTTCTTGCTCACTTGGATTTTATAAGGTGCACCACTGCAGAAACTTACCTTTCTTTTTTTTTCTTAGTTAGAATAAACTCTTAATTTCCTCCCAGATTTCATCTGCTTGTCTCTGCAGGATCAATAGAAACTTAGGAACAGCAATAATAACAGCAATATCCACAGAGGTGAAAATGGGTAAAGGTATTTTGGGCTATGGGACACATTGAAAAAGAAATTTGAGAATATAATATCTCATTTTTAGAGAAATCATAGCCTAAGCTTGGAGAAAAGAAAGTTCAATGAAGTGAAAGGAACAGAATAACAATACATTCAAATTAGCAGAAAATACATAGCTCACTGAATACATCACTTATTCACTTGTTCATTTATTCAACCAGTATTAATTAGCCATCTTTTATGTGCCAGGCACCGTCTAGATGCTGAGGAGGCAGAATTGAACATTCCTTGTGGAAGATACTGCTTTAGTGGAGATCTCAAGCTCTCTTCCTGAATGATTACATAGGGCTCCAGAGGTCAGTTACATCGTGTTCAGTCCAGTTGCCTTACCAACTAGACTAAACCTGTTATGGGTTCTTGACCCATTATCTTTGGAAAAGTTAAAGAGAATTTCTTACCTCTGTATATGTCACATAGGAATTTCTCCGCTTTAGACATGTTGTTTCTGTATTTCCCTAGTAGAAGAGAGGTAATATTGTAAAAGGCATGTTGATAAATGATGAAATATGTTTTTTTAAGTGTGTAAACTATATCTTAATTTCTAAAAAAGATTTCTTTTTGCAGTAGGACTATTAATAATCATAATAAAATTTAAAAATTTTTAAAAATTTACACCAAATATAAACTCAAATGACCATTTAATAGCTTAGTTATTTTATTCCCAGATGCTTTAATCCTAGCCAAGTGTATGAATTGCCCAAGGAATTTAAAAAGTAGCAAAGCCCAGACTTTATCCATGAAAATTCTGATGCTATAAGTATAAGGTGAGGCTCGGTAATGGGATTTTTTATTTTTTAATTCCATAAATAATTATGATGCGGCTTCAGAAACAAGAGCCATTGAACTCCCTAGAACTAAAAGTGGTTCTGTTCTTTCCATATTCAACAAGTAGCTCAAATGTACACAACTACTTTTTCTGCTTTCTACTGGTGGTGAACTGTTATCTTATAGAACTGTTTTTTGGTCAAAAATAAAGATGTTTTGGTAAATCCCCCATAGCAAAAAATATTCATTAGCTATTAATAGTTTAGATGCTTAGGTTGTTGGAGATGAAAGTGCTTCATAATATTGTCAGATTTTGGCGACCAGAAAAGTCACATGCCAACCATGATTGAATATTCTTTCTCTCAACAACTATTACATTTACCTTAATGTTCTAAGACGTTAAAATTATCTGCCCTTAGAAAAGGGACTCTAAGAATAGCTCATCATCTTATGCTGTCTTTGACAATCTCCTGATATGTGCCTTTGACTTCTAATGTCCTTTGAGGTATGCAGAAGAAATGTGGGTGAGGGAAGGGGAGCAGGGGTTAAAAAATAGCATTTCCAATTAGAATGACTGACCAATGTACTTTGTTTTTTTCAATTTACTTTTGATTGCTATGGTTATTATTTTATATTTTTAGAATTTGGCTGTGTTCTAAGATTCAGAGAGTATGACATTTTTAGATTGCTTATCCAAGATCAAGCCCTCTATCTCTCCCTTTAATGATGCCAGCTGTTCATTACTTCAATTGTGTTGGTATCTTTGGGTGAAGCAAGTAACTGGGTCAGGGACATGACATTTCCTTTTATGTATAAGACAGAAAAATGATTCATTATCCAACAAGATCACTGCAAGGTATTTTTAGCCACAAGACTTGTCTTGTAAATTTACTCACCTGGTTTGTCCTCATCTTCCTGAGTGGTGTGGGGCTTACCAGTGGCTTTTTAAAGACAAAGTGTAATAATTTCCAAAAACTTAAAAGTATGACTCATACAAATATTATATGAGAATATTTCAAAGATTTTATTTAATTCATTAGTTAATAAGTGTTAAAAGAAAAACTTCAGCCGAATTAAATTTAAAAGAGTTTAATTGAGCAAAGAACCGATTTGTGAATCAGGCAGTCTCCCGAGCCAGAGTAGGCTCAGAGACTCTAGCAGCCACGTGTGGAAAAAGATGTATGGACAGAAAAAGGAAAGTGACAAAACAAATGTGAAGTACAGCTGGATTGGTTATAGCTTGGCATCTGCCTTATTTGAACATGGTTTGAACATTTGGCCACATTTGATCAGCCAAAACTCAGTGATTGGCACAAGAGTAGGCTATGGCCTGTTTATACTTCTACTTGTTACAGTTTACGATGTACAGAAAAACCTAGGCTGAACTTAAAATATGTAAGGAGGCAGCTTTAGGCTAAACTTAACTTAACATGAGAAAACCATTAAGATGGTAAGTCTGGTCCAAAGGGCATTTTGAGAATTTGGATTTTTATGGGCATTTTGAAACAACATTAGTGCAAGAATAATAGGATAAAGCAAGCCCAACTAGGGTTCCACAGGCAACCCTGCTTGGGGGTCATCCTTTCTCCCTAACGGAAGCTATTCACATTTCTACTGCACCAAAATCTGTAAGTTAACATATAGTGTATTAAGTTTTTACTCAGTAGAAAACAGTGGGTCAAACCAACCGTATTCCCCTAGTATAAATGATCTTTGGTTGATACTGTTAAACACTGCCTCAGTGTAAGATTGAAAGAAGATGCTGCAAATCCTTTTACCTAATTCTTGTATTTTAAATCATTTTTCATATTATAGTTAAGTGGTAGTGACAATTTCAAAGCAGCATGCTCTGAGATAGGTCTGAGGATAACTTCCAGCCAATAGAAATGAGTCCATTTGTCTCTTTTCTAATGTCATTCCTGTGTATGTGTGTATATTGCACAAATGTATGCATGAAACTTAGTCTGGTGTTGCATAGGCAATGTGACAAACTTTTAAATCTCCTTCGAAAAATAAATTTGCTTCTCAGGAAACAAACTACCCATGTCCTTAGAACCAGCCTTGTTAATTTTCTTTTTCTGCTATCCTCTTCATCTCAGCCCACTCTGTACATTTCCTGTCCTGGAGAAGTAGCAAACATTCTAATCAGATCAGAATTTTTCCTTGGTACTAATTCATGGAATGCATTTCATTGTCCTTCACAAGTGACTTGTACACAGGTGCTCAAAAATCTAGAAAATAAGAAATGGATTTTCCCAGATGCATGTCAAGGGAAGGGGCTTTTTTTTTAAGATTTGCATTTTTCTTTTTAAGATAAATTTTAAGTTCCTTTTACTGATACCGTTTACATTCTCTACTTGGGTTTCTGAAACATAAAAATAGTAAACCTGGCTTTCATATTTTCCATCATCTTGAGGAAGAGAATATTGAAATTAACTCTGCCATTTGCCATTGTGTCTCCTTGCTTTCATCTTGAAAGTTTCTTGATAGAGAGGTCCTTAAAGATATACCTCGTGCTAAAGGATCCACAGTGACATCAGGATCACCTCTACTAAGTGCAAATGTGATTAAGTTTTGGAAACATTTTGAAGAGAGCTCACAGGCTTAGAATTTATTTTTTACTATAGAATATTCAAAATGAGATCCAAACCTTTTGGAACTGGGTCAGACCTGATTCTTAATACTACCAGGCTGTGGGCACATTATAACATCTTACAGTGGCATTGTAATTTTCTCCAATTTGCTAACAAAGACTAATTATCCAAATAATTCAACCTGACTATCTGCTGTTGACCACTGCAAATCTCCCTGCTGTTCCTCAAAGCTCTGTTTGTTCCCCGTTTCTTCTCTTGTTTTAAACCCCTCACTGTTCTGAGTGCCTTTTATTTCAAGAGAAATTGTATACCTACTGTGTAAATTTCTGCAGGGAGTCCTTTAATGTAGACTGTTGCAATTTTCTCCAGGAATATGCTAATAATTACAACGGCTAGGGATTTGGACTTTGTATCTACAGAGAAGGAATTGTGTGAGAAAAAGAGAAAAAAATAATAACTCTAACTCTACAACACTGAAAAGAAAATAAAAAAGAAAAAATAAATAAAGGAGAGAGAAAAACAAAGTATTTGTTAAAGTACCTGCTAAAAGTAGACAGATGGATAGAAGTGGCAACTGCAGACACGTCTTTGTGCAGGCTATTGGGAACAGCCATGCACGAAGAGAGAATCATGATCTTTGGTACCATGGGCAGCAGGCTGAGTTCTGACCTTCATAGTCATGGCAACAGAGCATCCCGTTGTGCTCCTGGGGTGTAGAAATGGGACCCCCTTGAGTCCTCTGTCACCTCTGTCAGAGGTATGGGTGTCTGCTTGGCAACTTTACAATCCTGAATTGCTCATTACAGTTGGCTTAAGGGAACTCTGGTTTGTGTTTCTTATTTTTGTTTAAAAGACAACTTTTAAAGATAAATGCATAGTTGTACTTCAGAGAAGAGTTTCAAGGAAATAAATATGGTTATCTTAGAACCCAATTTACATTGAAGTGATGTTGCATTCCCGCAGAGTTTGTTCAAAACCACAGTCCTATCCTGAGGTTATTTTCCAAGTGGATTATTTAAGGTGACCTGATATGTTGCGTAGGCTGTCCTCAAACTCTGGGTCTTAAGTAATCCTACCACTTCAGTCTCCCAAAATGCTAGAATTACAGGCATGAGCCACTGCACCCAGCCAGTAATTGAAATATTATCAAGAATAATCAACTAACATTTATTGCTAAAATTTATTGACACACACGCACACACACATATATATATGTCTATATATGCTCTATGCACTTTACATCTATTATCTCATTATTTGTTTTTACTTTACTAATGAGGAAACATGGAAAGTTTAAGACTCCTCCCCAAAGTCACCTGGCTAGTAATTAGTATAGTCAGGATTTAAATAGAGGCCATCTGACTCTAAGTCAGATCTGACCAGTATCTGAGTTCTTAATCACTCCACTGCAATCTACTATGCTTTTACAGCATAACTTAAAAATAGATACAAGATTTCTGTGCTATAAAATAACAAAATGCTTATAAGCTGCATCACTGTTTAGATAGAACAGCTACTAACCTTCACCCCTTGCTGAGCTCCCAGTATGTGTCAGACACTGTACTGGGCATTGTGCATATATTATCTCCATTCCTCATCACAAACTTGCAGTGAAAGAAATATTATCCCCACTTTGTACATGAAGAAATGAAGCATGGAAATTTTTAAAAACTTGCTTAAGCCAAAGGCTGAGCTGCAGAATAAGCTCAAGTGTGCATCTATTTTCCCATGCCACTCTGCTAGTTTTCACAAGTTGTTTGCAAGGTGTAGCTTCAGTTTTACCAAAATGACTAGGGACAAAAATCTGTCTTCCTAGTCCCTAACTTTACTTTTGAGAAACAATAATAACATCCTAAGCCCCCCAACCAACTGAATGGACCTCCTCTTGGCCAAAGGGACACCAGAGGAACCTTGAAAACTGAGATCTCAGCCATGACAGGACAGGAGGTGGGACAGGCTTTGTTATACCCCCTTTTTCACTAATCACGATTAGGCTTACTTCCCTAAGAACTAAACAGAAACCAACCCTTTCTTTTTATCTTTTGTTTTTATTTTATTCTGTTTCATTTTATACAAGGTCTTTCTCTGTCACCTAGGCTGGAGTGCAGTGTAATCACAGTTCACTGCAGCCTCAACCTGAGGCTCAAGTGATCCTCCTGCCTCAGCCTCCTGAGTAGCTGGGACTACAGGCACGTACCACCACAGCCAGCAAATTTTATTTAATGTTTTACATTTTTTGTAGAGAGGGGGTCTTCCCTATATTGCCAAGGCTGGTTTTGAACTCCTGGGTTCAAGTGATTCTCCCACTTCGGCCTCCCAAAGTGCTGGGATTACAGAAGTGAGCCACCATGCCTGGCCCAGCCCTTTCAAAAGACTCCACCACTAGTGTCAGCCAACCACCTGATGCTGTCCCTCGTTTTTTGGGTGATAATTGACCACTGACCTTAGAGAGGTTCTGGCCAGTCTCCTGAGAATGCGCAATAAGGGTTTTTGTGTTCTCTGCTTCACCTTTTGACATCAGAAGGCTGAAAACTCCACCCTCAGCTCAGATCATGGGTATGGGTCCCATAAAGGGGAATGAAGCTCAATTGCACACACACACACACACACACACACACACACACACACACACACACACGGTTCTCCTTTCATAAATATTCATGACTTCTCCCATAGCTAATTGCATATGTATATGTGGTTACTCTGTTCTGCATAAATTCCCATTCCTTTAGCCCTTCCCTCGAAATGTCTGTTTCTGGCTTCTGGCCAAAGGCGGTGCTTCTCAGCCTGTGAGAATGGCCATCCTGGAGGCTTCAATCCTTCATGAGAAACAAAGCTCTGCTTTCCAAGCTTATAAACCTCGTCATTCTTCAGATGACACTTTCCTACTAAAGTTGTTAATGAGATAGAAGTATTGTCTCTAGAAAACCTAAATGAAAATATACAAATTACATGAGGAGAGATAGATGACAGTCTATCTTTCTAACTTTGATTACCTTCATTAGTTGATTAACTTGATTTTTATTCTTTAATACTTGAAGAATGAAAAATGAATGAAGGAATGAGTGAATGGGTGAGCAAGTGAAACAATCTAACATCTATTGAATGTCGAGTCAGCAATAGGCACTGTGTAAAGTGATTTCATATTCTGCTTTTATGTCTTTTCCACACAAGACCTGCAATTAGGTGCCTATTTGTATTATTACTATGTTAAGGATGAGGAATCATAGGTTAAGTGAATTGCTCAGTTTCCACTAGTGAATGAGACTGTTGAAAATAGAGCTCAAAGAACTTTGACTCCAAAGTTCAAGCTGTTCCACCCATATGTTTCAATTTCTCTTTTTAATTTAAGAAAGTGTTTAGATACAAAAGAGTATTTTAGAAAAATCTGCCAGAAACAAAGATCAGCTATATAAAAATCACCCAAATATTTATGCTTCAGTATTATAAATAAAATATTGCCTTAATCCTTATTTTTCAATTTTTTAATTATTTCAGTCTATACTGACAAATTATACTTGTATATATTTAAGGCATGCAAAGTGATGTTATGATTTTTTGAATACAATGTAGAATGATTAAATCAAGGTAAATAATCTATCCATAATCTCAAGTATTTGACATTTTTTGTGATGAGAATACTAAGATTTATTCTTTTAGTGATATTAAAATGTACAGTACTCAATTATTAGCTATGAATACCATGCTGTGCAATAGATCTCAAAAAATGAAATAAAATCAATCAAACTTACTCCTCCTATCTAACCAAGGCTTTGTACCCTTTGACTGTCATCTCTCCATTCTACCCAGTCCCCCAGCTTGGGGTAACCACAATTCCACTCTCTGCTTCTCGAGTTCAATTGTTTTAGATTCCACATATAAGTGAGGACATGGGGGTATTTGTCTTTTTGTGTTTGGCTTATTTTGCTTAACACCATGTTTTCCAATACCATCATGTCACAAATGACAGAATTTCTTCTCATTTTAAGGCTGAATAGTATTCCATCATGTATACATTCCATGTTTTCATTATCTATTTATCTGTTGATGGGCGCTTAGGTTTATTCCATAACTTGGCTATTGTATATTATGCTGCTATGAACATGGGCATGCAGAATCTCCTGTGCTGATATTAAGTATTTCAGGTAGATACCCTGAGGTGGGATTGCTGGATCATATGGTAATTTTATTTTTAGAAGCTTCATCCAGTTTTCCATAATGGTTGCACTAATTTGCATTCCCACCAACAGTGTACAAGGGCTCCCCTTTCTCCACATCCCTGCCAGGTTATTTTTCATCTTTTTGATAATAGCCGTCCATTGTAAGAGGTCCGAGTTGATACATCATTGTGATTTTAATTTATAGCTCTCTAACGATTAGTGAGGTTGAGCATTTTTCCATGTATCTGTTAGCTAGATGTCTTCTTTTGAGAAATGTCTGTTCAGGTCATTTGACCATTTTTTTTTTTTCCTTTTGAGTCAGAATCTCACTCTGTCACCCAGGCTAGAATGCAGTGACAGGATTTCAGCTCACTGCAACATCTGCCTCCCAGGTTTAAGCAATTCTCCTGCCTTAGCCTCCTGAGTAGCTGGGATTATAGGTGTGTGCCACCACGCCTGGCTAATTTTTGTATTTTTAGCAGAGGTGGGTTTTCACTATGTTGGCCAGGCTGGTCTCGAACTCCTGGCCTCAAGTGATTCCCCCTACCTTGGCCTTCCAAAGTGCTTGGATTACAGGTGTGAGCCACCATGCCCAGCCCCTTTGCCCATTTCTTAATTTGATTATTTTCTTTCTATAGAGTTGTTTGGATTGTTTATATTTTTTAGATATTAATCTCTTATCAGACTCATGGCTTACACAGATTTTCTCTCAGTTATAGCTAAACTCTTCTCTCTTGATTCCTCTCTTGTGCAGAAGCTTTTTCTTTTGATGTAATCTAATTTGCCTCTTTTTGCTTTTGCTATCTGTGCTTTTGGGGTCAAATCTAAAAAATCATGGCCTAGGCCAATGTTGCGTAGCTTTTCTTCTATGTTTTCTTCTGGTAGTATTACACTTTCAGGTTTTATGTTTAAGTCTTTTTAATCCATTTTGAGTTGATTTTTGTTTTTGGTGTGAGACAAAGATCCAATTCCATTATTTTGCATATGGATATCCAGTTTTCCCAATGCCACTGATTGAAGAGATTGTTTTTGTCCCATTGTATATTCTTGACACCTTTGTTGAAAATCAACTGGCCATAGATTCATGGATTCAGTTCTATGTTCTCCGTTCTGTTCTATTTGTTAATGTGTCTGTTTTTATGCATGTACCATACTGTTTTAATTACTATCACTTTGTAGTATATTTTGAAATCAAGTAATATGATGCCCCCAGCCTTGTTCTTTTTGCTCATGATTGCCTTGACTATTTGGAGTTTTTTGTGGTTCCATATAAATTCTAGAATTATTTTTTCTTTATCTATGAAAAATGTCATTTCATAGATCTCCCTTCTTTTAGGGTTTATTGTTGGAACTTTGTTAGTTTCTTCTGGAGGTATCATGACTTTCTGAATCTTTGTAATCCTCTTCTCTTTGAATTGGTGTTTACACATTTGTAGAGACAGCCACTCTTTGGGGCCTTTTACAGTACTTTGGCAGGGATAGACATACGCTAGTTAGTCTAACCTGTGATTCTGGGTGGGCCACCTGGTAATGGCCCTGGGCAAACAGAATTGCTTTCAGGTTTTCTAGATGACTGGGCTGCTCTCTTCACTCTAAATTTGGGTGAGGTAGCCAGCCAGCTGGACTCTGCTATCCCGCAAGACCCCGTGCTGAGCTGAGCTGCTCTATGGGCACTGCAATTGCCTCTGGTTTGGCTGGCCATAGAGTGTATTCCCTGGCCAAAATGAACTGCTCTTTGAGTTCAGCAGTTGGTCAGGGTTTCAGGAGGGACTCTGAGGTTAAATGGATTGGGATGGATAGACCCACTACTATGCTCAGTACAAATGTATGGTTGAGTTTTCCCTCCCTCCCTTGATGGGGCTGGGGTGGGAGCACTGATTAAACTTCCAAGTGTGACAAAACTAGTGCCTGTTTTTGGCTGAGATTTGCTACAGGAGGTCTTTTCCCTCCCTGGGTGAAGTCTCAGGGAAGGGCCTAAGCTGGGCCTGGGGGCTGGATGAGTAGAGATTCAAGCCCGATAGCAATTTCCATCTCTTCCGGGAGCAGCCAGCTCGGCTTTGAGGGTGAGCGATGCTGTGACCTGGTGCCTAAGATTGAGCACCTTGCTGGCAGGTACACTGAGCTTTCAGCAAAATCTGCACACTGCCACTCATTGCTTTGTTTCTAGCTGACCCCAGGTGGCCATTCAATTTCCTCCTATGTTCCCCATCCACCATGAGGTGAGAATAGAGTAGACTCCCTGGGAAGCATCTCAGAATGCCACGGAAGCTAGATGTCTGCCTCCTTGGTTCTCTTTTCCTGCTGTAAAAACTGTGGGTTCTGGGGAATCCTCTCTATGGCACTGTGCAACCTGGGAGAGGGGGAGAGGTACAGTCAAACAGACCATTTCTCCTGTTCTCTCAATGAGGATTTTCATTCAGTTTCATGGAACATGAAGATGACTCGTATTCATTCCCACACTTTGGGGCTTTCATAGGTGTTTTTGTCTGTGGCTAGTTGCTAGTTGATCTTCCTGTTGGGAGTGTAGAGCCTGGGACCTCCTCTTCCACCATGTTGCTGGCCTCCTCTCTACTTTAAACTTTATGTTCCCATGAGTGTTCTTTCACATTTCATCCCCTTCCCTTCTATTTTGGACCGTTCCTTCATAGTTTTATATTTGCTTATATTCATGAATAAAGCATTGTTTAGATATGCATCTTTTTCAACTTTAAATAAATTGAATCAAACTGTGTTTTTATCTTGTTCCTGAAATTCACCATGGCATTGAATGAAGCTGTATTTAATTTCTTTTTACTATTGTATAATATTCCATTAAAAAACCTTACCCTAATTTATTCATTCTACTTCTGATGAATATTTGTGTTTTCCTTTTTTTGGTTATTTAAAAGAGTGCTCAGGTACTATGCTCACTACCTGAGTAACGGGATCACTCATACCCCAAATCTCAGCATCACACAATATCCCCATGTAACAAACCTACACATGTACCCCCTGAACCTAAAATAAAAGTTGAAATTATTTTTTAAATTTTTAAAAAAGACACTGACAAGAACGTGTACATGTCCCCCAGAGTATATCTGAGAGTGTCATGAGGTCACAAGGTTTACACATTTTTGGTTTGTTAGATAATCCCTTATTGTTTTCCCAAGCCAATGGTGCAATTTATACCACAACTTATACTGAATAACAATGCACAATTATTCAGCTTCCCCTGTGTCCTTGTCAGTATTTGATGTTGTTATCCATTTTTAGTTTGTACTAATATGATTGGTTCGAAATGATATCTTGAAGTTTTAATTTAATTGAATTTCCAATTTAATTTTAATTTTAATAAATTAATTAAATTGGATTTCCCTGATTATTGATGATTGAACGTCTTTTAATCTATGTTTGCTGGCATTGCTTTTCTGTGAATGCCTATTCATTGCCTATTTTTGCCCTCTTTTTCTATTAATTTGCCTTTTTATTATCTACTTGTAGGCTTTTTTTTATATACATTCTGGATATTAAATGTTGTCATTTTGTCTATTGCAAATAAATTCATCCTGCTTATGGATTGTGAGGTTATTTATTTATGTGGACTTTTGAAGAACACAAGTTTTGAATCTTAATAAATTCATATTTATCAATCATTCCCTTTATGCTTTGTACACAGAGGCAATCTTCCTTAATTCAAAGCCAAAAAATTATTTTGCCGAAAGTTTTATAGTTTTGCATTTTCCATTTCTGTATTTAATCCAGCTAGAGGTAATTTTTTGCTCATACTGTGATGCAGCAGTCCAATTAACTTATGTTATTCTATGTAGATAACCGGTCATCCCAGTCCTATTTATTGTCCATCTATTTCTTCTCAAGGCTCTACAGCACTGGTTCTGTCTAAATCTAGTGTCCATATATGTTTGGATGTGTTTCTGGGCTTCCTATTCTGTGTTTTTAGTTTGTTCTGTGACAGTTCTATGCTACCTTAATTTTTACAGTTTCTAGTAATACTTGATATCTGGTAGGCCAAATCTCATTACTTTGCTCTTTTTAAGCAATGTCTTACTATTCTTGTACCTTTGATTTTCTTCATAAATTTTAAAATTGCCTCATTAAATTCCTCTAAAAATCTGTTGGTGTTTTGACTAGAATTAAATCACATCACTAGAGCAATTTGGCAAGAATTTATATCCTTAAGATATTGCTTTTTGTTATTAATTTGCGGACCATGCATGTGGTATGATTTTCTATTCATTTAAGTCTTTGAAAAAAGTCTTTAATATAATTTTCTCAATACAAATTTTGCACATATATTGCTTGATTAATTCCTTGGTACTTTACTTTCTTTTTATTTGAAACCAAAGTGAAAGCTATGTTTTAATAACTACTTTTATAAATGTTTTGTTGAGCATGTATCTAGTTGCAATTGATTTTTTTATTCTTTTTCAATAAGCTTTATTTTTTAGAACAGTATTAGATTTACAGAAAAATATCATGAAGATAGTTCAGTGTTCCTATAAATCTTGTACCAAATTCCCCTATTGTTAACTTCTTATATTAGTATAATGCATTTATTGCAATTAATAAATCAGTATTAATACATTATTAGTATTGATGTTATTATTCAAATGCCCTTACTTTTTACCTAATGTCTTTTGTCTGTTTTAGAGTCTCATCAGAATACCACATTACATTTGCCCTACCTGCCTCCTTAGCCTTCAATTAGTGTTAAGAGTTTCTGAGAGTTTTATTATTTGTTGACTTGACAGTTTTGAAGAGTACTGGTTAGGTACTTGGTAGAATCCACTGTGGGGTTTGTAAGATATTTTTCTCATGATTATGGGCTTGGGAAGAAAGGCCACAGAAGTAAAGTGCCATTTTTATCACATTTTATCAAGGGTACATATTGTGGATGTTGACCTTGATCACCCATCCGAGATGCTGTTTGTCAGGTTTCTCCACTGTAAAGTGACTGCCCCCACCCCCTTCCCATTCTGTAGTCTTTAGAAGGAAGTCACCATGCACAGCCCAGATCTAATGAGTGGGGAGTTATGTTCCACCTTATTGGAGGCAGAATAGCTACATAAATCATTTGGAATTCTTCTTAGCAAGAGGCTTCTCTCTTCTCCTTCATTTTATTAATTTGTGTTTATTTAATCATTTATTCATATTATTATGGACTCATGGATGTTAAATTTATACTTTGGGTTATAATCATATACTTCTTTATTTATATTGTTGCTAAAATCATCCCATCTTTGGCCACTGGGAGCTCTTTCACTTAGCCCCTGTGTCCCTTTGACATACCTTGTAATTAATTGTGGAGTTTTGTTTTGTTTGTTTTTTGTTTGTTTGTTTTTGTCCCTGAGCACTGCCTTTGCAGTTGATTTGTATATAGATACTCCTCAACTTATGACTGGGGTTACATCGATAAACCCATTGTAAGTCAAAAACATTGTGAGTCAAAAACATTTCAACCCATCATAAAGTTGAAAAATCATAAGTTGAACCGTTGTTAAGTCCAGATGCTGCTCAACTTACAATGGAGTTAACCTCCCAAGAGAATGATTGTGTAAAGTCAAAAAGGACCATTGTAAATTGGGGGCCATCTGTATATTGATTTTGTATTCAACGACCTTGCTAAAATATTATCACAATTCAAATAATTTGTTGTATATTTTTTCTGCAATTATGTCATCTGCAAATAATGACAGGTTTTCTTCCTTTCAAATTATTACAGTTCTTTTAACCTTTTGCTTATTTATTTTGCCTTGCTGCACTTAACTAGGACCTTTGGTGTGAAGCTGAGCTGAAGTTGTGATAGTGGACACACTTGATTTATTTTGGCTGGTACAAAGAATAAGTTCAATATTTCATCATTAAGTATGATATTTGCTGTTTTTTCTTTAATATTCTTTATGAAATTAAAGAAGTTTCCCTCTAGCCTTAGCTTGTTGCCCTAGTTTGCCCCAGAAACAGGCCCTGAAACAACGTTGTCAATGCAATAGTTTATTTGAGAGAAGATCCTGGGAAAAACCACAAAGGGAATGGTAAGTAAATTAGAGAAGAGAAGAAAACTAATAAAAAGTGTCTGATAAACCCAGCTACTACTGTGGGCAACCGTTCCTTAATCCAGCTGGGGAAACTTGGGGAGCCAGTGTACAACCCACTCCTTAGAGTTATTCAAACTGAGAGATGAGGGAGCAAGGAGCCTTGGGTTGAAGGCTGCCAAGGGCAGGGCTGTGGGGGTTGCAGGGGGGCTCATTTTCTAGCACTTTTGGGCTACAAAGCCAGAGAAAGCTCATAGGCAGATGCCAGCAGGTGGAAGTCTGGCCTGAGTGGGCTCAAGTGAGAACCAGAACACGTGGGCACCAAAAACAGATGCTATACTTCCAGGGACATTTGTATTTTGTTGTTTTGTTACAAATAGACGTTGAATTTGCCCAATACAATGCATCCGTTGACGGTCATTTGATTTTTCTGCTCCAAACTGATACTTTGGTGAGTCCATTAATTGGAATTTGTGTAAATGACTTTGCATCCTTGGGATATGTACAACTTGCCAATAATTCCTTTACAGTGTTCGTGTATCTGTTCATGTAATGAGATTGGTCTGTACTTTTCCTTTTTCATATTTTTATATCCTCTGTATTGAAGATTTCAAGACTACAGCAAACCTTATATTATGAATTGAGGCTTATGAGTTGATCTATTCCAAGCTCATGCTTTTTCCACCACATTGATGTTTTTCTTATGTCCTGGGGACAGTGACATGTAGAATTACAAATAAGTTAACGTGGCTTGAGGATATGAGCAACAGAAACTCTGGATAGAGTTGAGGTAAACATAAATAGGTCAGCCACAACAGCACTGATAATTAAGAATGAGAGAACAGATAGAGGTGTTAATAAAAAAAAGAAAAAAAATGTGTGTTAGATTCTAGCTTTTTTCTTCTCTAAACATTTGATTTTGCTTCAGAATTCCTGCTCCATAAAAATCTAAATTATGTTTAGCATCATCTTCCAAATCTTTGTGAGACAGCTTTATTTTTTTACTTCATCCAAACCCAAACCAATGACATCATTCACCCTTTTTAATTGTTACAATGTTTTAAACTTGTCTGGTGTGGAATGCATCAGAGCCACCTGGAGCTATACCAGAAACTTTGAGAAGGAAGCATGTTTCATATTAAGGTTTTGCATTGCATCACCTGCTTAGCATTTCTACATAAAGCACCGCCATTCATATATATATATATGTGTGTGTGTATATATATATGTGTATATATATATATATATATATTCTTATAGCAAGACTCATTTTGCTATTTTTTTAATTTAAAACCAAAATCCAGATGAGAGGAAAAAAAATTATATATATCATATATATATGATGTGTATATATATACACACACACACACACACACACACACACACACACACACACACATGCTACACATATTCAGAGGGACAATAATGTAAATCAGGATGTGGGCCACACATTGCACATATATTCTGTTGTGCTTCTTTGTATCATAATTTTCTTACTCAATTACATATTTTTTTAAATTGAAAACTTTAAATGAGCTTTGTATTTGTTACAGGAAGTCAGGGACCCCCAAATGGAGAGACCAGCTGGAGCCGAGGCAGAAGAACATAAATTGTGAAGATTTCATGGGCATTTATCTGTTCCCAAAATTAATAGTTTTATAATTTCTTATGCCTGTCTTTACTGCAGTCTCTGAACATAAATTGTGAAGATTTCATGGACATTTATCACTTCCCCAAACAATACTCATAATTTCTTATGCCTATCTTTACTTTAATCTCTTAATCCTGTTATCTTCATAAGCTGAGAATGTACGTCACCTCAGGACCACTATGGTACAAACTGATTGTAAAATATGTGTATTTGAACAATATGAAATCAGTGCACCCTGAAAAAGAACAGAATAACAGCAATTTTCAGGGAACAAGAGAGATAACCATAAGGTCTGACTGCCTGTGGGGTCAGGTAGAATAGAGCCATATTTTTCTTCTTGCAGAGAGCCTATAGAGGGATATGTGAGTAGGAGAAATATCACTGAATTCTTTTTCCAGCAAGGAATATTAATAATTGATAACTGTGGGGAAGGAATGCATTCCTGGGGGTAGGTCTGTAGACAGCCGCTCTGGAAGTGTCTGTCTTATGTGGTTGAGATAAGGACTGAAATACGCCCTGGTCTCCTGCAGTACCCTCAGGCTTACTATCATCCTAGTAAGCCTGATAAATTCCAGCCTGGTAAATTCTAATCAGACCAGTTGTCTGCTCTTGAACCCTGCTTCCTGTTAACATGTTTATCAAGACAATGTGTGCACAGCGGGACATAGACCTTCATCAGTAATTCTAATTTTGCCTTGCCTTGCGATCTTTATTGCCCTTTGAAGCATAAGCATATGATCCTTGTGACCTACTCCCTGTTCGTACCTCCCCTCCCCTTCTAAAATCCCTAATAAAAACTTGCTGGTTTTGCAGCTCGGGGTCGCCATCACGGTCCTACCAATATGTGATGGCACCCCCGGAGGCCCAGCTGTAAAATTTCTCTCTTTGTACTCTTTCTCTTTATTTCTCAGACCAGCTACACTTAGGGAAAATAGAAAGAAACTACGTTGAAATATTGGGGGCTGGTTCCCCTGATAGTATTAGATCCCATACTTACCTACACTAAACTAAAAGATAACCTTGATAAACATCAGAGCTTTTTGAAATCAAATATAGGGGCTTTTCTTTTTTCTTTGACCAAATATTTCTCTCCTATGCATCCTTAAGCATCTTGTGGACCTGAGTCTCCTAATGGACCTATCAGCTCCCATGCCCATTTAGCTGAATTATTGACCCCTATCTCCTTGAGAAGTACTGGAGGGCCTAGATATCTGTGTGATTGCTTTCATAGTGCTTGTCTCAGTTTTCTCTCTTATACCCCTTTCCTTTCATCTAATTTTACCAAGTCATCTCAATCCATGACCCATACATAAGCTAGCCTGGGACACAATTGTGAACATGACAAAGCTTGAGTTTACTTTCCTTTATATATATTTTGTTCCTCCAGCCTCTTACTTCTTGTCACTTCCCTTTCCTGATTATCCTTTCCTAGTGCCCTTGGATTGAAATATTTCCCTCCCTTCACTCTATCAAATTTTGCAACCTTAAGATATTTTTCATAAATGACCAGTTATTCCACCTCCACACCACTGTTTCCTGGCATTTGAAATTCACAAAAGATAAAAACTTTAAGCTAAAGCTATGCAAGTATGTGTGTATTCTGTCTTGTGACTTAAGGTTCTTGAAGTATATAATCTTTTGGTCCCTTTAGGTTGCATTCTAAGTTATTACCTATTTGGCTGGTCAGCCCAAGTCCAAGCCCAGGACCACATGCAAGGGTCTGACAACCTGTAACATCCAAGGTAGACTCAACTGGAGTTTCAGATTTTACTATGCATAGGCAACTGTCCAATGACAAACTATCCTATAATCAGATAAATGTTTTGTTATTTTGGACAACTGATAGCACATCTCCTTCTTGCTATTTTTTTTTTTAATTTAAAAACCAAAATCCAGATCAAAGGGAAAAAAAAGTATTGCATGCCTCTGGGGCTCAATATCTCAAAGAAGCAAGGAGACTATTTTTCAGTCTTATTGAGACAATCAGGTATACCAAAAGGTTTTTTCAAATCATAATTGTATATAAGAATCAATGCTGGAGCTTTTTTAAGATGCTAATTTTGATTTATCTCTCCATCCCAAATTAAGATTCAGCAGTTCATGGTTGAGTCTCTGGAATCTGTCGTTTCAACAAGTGCCCTGGGTGATTCTCATGCAGGAGGTCTACCCAGTAGACTTTGAGACATCCCTGCTGGATGGTTTTTTTTTTTTTTTTTTTTTTTTTTTTTTTTTTTTAAAAGGCTTTCAAAGAGCTAGTTAATAATTCATGGACAATGTAATAGCAAGTAGAGTTCATTCTGATCTCATTCAGTTCTGGGCTATGCATCACAGAACAAATGGACATGATGTTCTAGACATGACTCTCTTAGGAGTGCCCTGGCAATAGCTGTGTCCTTGGTGCAGAAATGAGAGGAAACTTGAGGGAGAAGCTAGTCAGATCTCACTGACTGTATCATTGTTCTGTTTCAACCCTGTGGTGTAATGATATATATTGTTTTTTATCTACAGTTCCTGGCTCATAATTCCCATAGCCCTTGTTACGGTATTTTGCTATAATATTGGATATGTTAGACCTCAAGGGCAGGTCTCTGACATTCTTCCCTCCTTTCTCCTGCCTCCCAAAAAGGACTCTAATGTTTCCCATCTTTCTTTTTGTGAGTCTTAAGACCCTCTGATGAGAGAATCCCACCCTACACCCTGGAGGAAGGAATGCTGACATCATGACTCTTCCATACTGGGATTCCAGAACTTCCATACTGGGTTCCAGGAGCTTCCAGATAGCTGAACACATGGAGCTTCCTGAAGGGTGGCACCCTGGGAGGGCTTTGAAACTCCATGCCCCTTTTCTCATCACTAGACTTGTGCATCTCTTCATCGGTATCCTTTGTAATATCTTTTATCGTAAAACAGTAAATGTAAGTGTTTCCCTGAGTTCTGTGAGCCACTCCAGCAAATTAATCAAACCCAAAGAGGGGGTCATGGAAATCTCAACTGGAAGCCAGTAGTCGGCCAGAAGTTCCTGAGGCCTAGACTTGCTATTGGTATGTGGGAAGGGGCAGTTTGTAGGACTGAGCCTTCAATCAGTTGGACCTGATGCTATCTGCAGATAGTGTCAGAACTACATGAAAGGACACTCAGCTGGTGTCCACCGCTTGGTGTGTGGAGGAAAAATCCCTATACATTTGGTGACAGAAGTCTTCGTCTGGGTTAATGATTGTCGTGGCATAAGAATAGAGGAAAAACATGATTAGAGAGAGTTCTCCCTACATAAACCTTAACTGGAGCATACTGCAGTTCAGTTCTGATGCAAACCACCTGGACTTAGGGCAGACTCCATGAGTTAAGGACTCTGTTCTCCACAATACTGCACTCACTTCAGATGCCAGCCACAAGTGGGGTACCCAGGCCACCTACTCTTCTGAATGACTGGATATAAATTTGGGAGTTCCTACAACCACCTCAGATTTGATAATTTGTTAGAACGACTCACAAAACTCACTGAGCATGCTACACTTACTATTACAGTGTTGTAGTAATAGGACACTTACAGGGTGGGATCAGAGAGGAAGCGCAAAGCTTCCCTTTCCTCCCCTGGTGGAATCCAGGCATGTCACCACTTCCCCACATCTGTGATCCACCAAACAGGAAACTCTGCTGAGCTTTGGTGTCGAGATTTTACTGGGGTAAATCATGTCACTATGTAGACATGATTGATTAAATTATGTATTGCTTGTGTGATTGAGCTTCATTTCCAAGCCCCCTCCCCTCCCCAGAGGTAGCGTGGCTGAAAGTTCCAACCCTCTAATCATGTGTCTGGTCTTTTTGGTGACCAGTCCCCATCCCCATCATGAAGGTATCTAGGAGCTGCCATGAGTCACTTCATTATTGTATAAAAGACATTCCTATCACTCTGGAAATTTCAAGGATTTTTGAAACTCATGCCAATAGCAAGAGGACAAGACCAAATATAGAGTTTATTGTACCACAGTTGTGTTAGTCAGGATTCTCTAGAGGGACAAGAGTTTAAGTATTAACTCACATGATCACAACGTCCCATACAGCGTGGCAGAAAGATGTAGGCTGGGAGGCTACGCACAATGTTAACTATCACAAGTCCACCCCTTGTCGACTTGAACCCATACACATCTTCTGAGATCATACATAATCTTCAAATAAAGACAATAATAAAGTCATAATTATGCCTAACATAATACAACTGTCCTTCATACAACTGGAAACGCACCAATCCCCAACCCAAATTCTATTACATAATTAATAGATATACATATTAAATATACATATTAAATGCTAACGTGAAGTCAATAAATGTTATGTCACATGAAAAAGGAGAAAGGAAATAAAATGAAGACACTGATTCACCTATGGAGGCCTGCCAAAGGCTTTAAACAGCATCACCATCTGCCACTGACACCTCAAGCACCCAAGTGGCAGACAAGCTTGCATAACAGCCTGGACCTGTTGCAGAGCCTTCTCCTGTTCTGAACCCCACTAAAACTGACAGCCTTTTGGTTCAGTCAATAAATGGGCTGGAGTAACACACCCAAGTGTGGAATGTGTTGCCTCCAAAATCCAAATAGCCCACTAGGCATTGCGGCCCTTTCTTGGTTGTAGTAGGGGCCAAATGCAGCAAAGTATTCATCACCTTAGAAGGAATATTTTGAAAGGCTCCACACCACTGGACCCTTAGAAATTTTACTGAATTAGAAGGTCCTTGAATTCAAAAACATAGGTAGGGTGGCTGAAAGGCTGGATGGGATTTATTTCCCATCCTCTGGCATGCAAATATCTCACCAATAAGTCCAGTATGTTTGCTACTTCTTGCTCACTGGATCGAATCAGCATAATGTCATCAATGTAAGGCACGAGTGTGATATCTTGTGGAAACCAAAAGCGATCAAGGTCTCTCTGAATAAGATTATGACACAAACCTGGAGAGTTGATGTACCCCTGAGGTAGGACAGGAAAGGTATATTGTTGGCCTTGCCAGCTGAAGACAAATTGCTTCTGGTGGGCCTTAAGGACAGGAACGGAGAAAAAGACATTTGCAAAGTTAATGGCTGTATACCAGTTACCAGGAGACTGTTAATTTGCTCAAACAATGAAACCACATCTGGTACAGCAGCTGCAATTAGAGTCACCACTTGGTTAAGCTTACGATAATCCACTGTCATTCTCCAAGTTCCATCTGTCTTCTGCACAGGCCAAATTTTGCCAAGTCAATGGCTGCATATCAGTTACCAGGAGATTGTTAATTTGCTCAAGCAATGAAACCACATCTGGTACAGAAGCTGCAGTTGGAGTCACCACTTGGTTAAACTTATGGTAATCCACTACCATTCCCCAAGATCCATCTGTCTTCTGCACAGGCCAAATGGGAGAGTTGAATGGGGATATGGTGGGAATCACCACCCCTGTGTATTTCAAGTCCTTGATGGTGGCACTAATCTCTGCAATCTCTCCAGGGATGCAATATTGTTTTTGATTTACTATTTTTCTATTAGAGGAAGCTCTAATGGCTTCTATTTTGTCTTTCCCACCATAATATCACTCACCCTACCAGTTCAGAAGCCAATGTGGGGGTTCTGTAGGCTGCTAAGTATGTCTATGTCAATTATGCATTCTGGCACTGGGGAAATGACCACAAGATGAGTCTGGGGACCCACTGGACCCACTGTAAGTAGGACTTGAGCTGAAACTCTATTAATTACCTGACCTTCATAACCCTTACTTTAACCGGGGGACCACAATGACATTTTGGGTCTCCTGGAATCAACATCAGCTCAGAACCAGTATCCAGTAGTCCCCAAAATGTCTGATCATTTCTGTTTCCTCAGTGTACAGTTACCCTGGTAAAAGGCTGGAGGTCTCCTTGGGGAAGGATAGGAGAAAGATTCACTGCACAAGCTGCAAGTAATGTAGTGTGGTCCTTCCTCAAGGGGACTCGACTTCCCCTTCATTCAAGGGCTTCTGGGTCTGTAAACTGGCTCAAGTCTGGAAATTGATTGAGGGGCCCTGATTCTCTGTTTTTTATAATTCAAATTAAGCTTTTGTCCGTTCAACCTAGAAGTTTTCTGTTTATGTAAATTAAGTAGGAATGCAGTAGGCTTCCTATCAATTTCACTTCAAGGAACACTGTGATTAATTCGCCAATGCCAGAGCTCTACACAAGTCAGACTATTCTGATGGCCGCTTTGCCTCTGCTGTTCATTATGGTAGCTATGCCCACCTTGCCTTTGACAGTTGAGTGCTGCCACTTGACCCCTGCTACCTTGGGATTCAATTATTCCCATTGTATTTAAATTTTGTAGTTGAGTGACTGTGGTTCACAATGTTAGATCTGAGGTACAGAGAAGAGCAATTACAGGGCCTTTCAAAGATGTTGGTGCTGCCCTCACAAATCTATTTTGCAGGGCATTGGTCAAGGATGTATCTTTTGGACCCTCCCAGCTGGGATGAGTAGGTCTAAAGTGGCTAATCCACTTCACCATCCCAATCTCCCTAAGCCCTTGGATCCCTTCCTTTACATTAAACCAAGTGAGATCAGGCATTTCCAGCTCACTCACAGTGGGGCCATCTTTTAATCCATATTTCAGATAACCAAGCAAATAAACTATTAGAGCCTTTTTTAACTCCCCAAGCTGTAACATTAAATGCAGAGTCCCTACTTAGTGGGCCTGATTCAATAAATTCAGCCTGATCCAATCAATAAATTCAGGCTGATCCAACTCTATGTTCCTTCCAGCATTACCCCACACCCTTAATATCCATTCCCATGCCTGCTGTTCATATTTCTGTTTATATAAATTAGAAAACTCAAGCAGTTCTTTTTGAGTGTAGCACCCCTCCTCATGGGTCACACTCTCAATCTCACCTCTAGGAGCCCACCAGGACTTTAGTCTAGTTATAGTTCTAGAAGAAAACAAGAGTGTTGGGGGTGGCTTCTGAGGAGAATCAACATTATCTTGCCTGGCAACTGCCTCAGGGGAGGACATCACTGTTGCCTCAGGCAGCACAGGGCTTATCTCCTCAGACAAAGGTGGAAAGGCTGATGCCAGTATGAGTCAGGGAGGGGACGTTGCCACTACTGGGGATAGGGAAGTTGTTTCTTCTGGCAAAACAGGTTCAACAGAGTTTACAAACTCGTGTCCCTAGCTTCATCAGAGTCCTCCCACACATCCCCATTCTGAGTTTCAGGGTTCCAGTCTTTTCCAATCAATGCCCTCACTTTAAAAGTAGACATCTGGTGAGGCTGTGCATGCACCTTTCCTTGCAGGTCAGCCACTCACATGATAAGAGCTTGTGTCTGTTTTTCCACAATTTCAGCTCTTTCTCTATAGGAGATAAGACTCTCACCCAGGGCAATCTTAGCAGATCTGAGGCTCAGTATCTGCTTCTGAAGCTGAGAGATAGAATCCCTAAGTTTATCATTTTCTTTCATCACTTTGTCTACTGAACTTAGGAGCAACCAACCACCTTCATTATGTTCATTGGTTCTCCACGTATGGTCAAAAGTATTATGTATAGAGTCACTGAACTCCTTCCCTCTCAGGAGCAGTGAATCAGGAGTGTCTAATGCATTTACTTTGCATAAATCTCTAAACAGTTCATGCCAAGGACTATCAGTGTTCTCCATAGTGCTAGAAGTAGTGTCCTGAGCATTTTGGGGTCTAATCATATTAAGCAGCCAACTCCAGAAACCCCAAAACCAATGAAAGAACTTCATCCTTAATATTCTGTTTCTCTAGAACCACTCCTGGTACCAAAATCTGTACTAGTCAGGGTTCTCTAGAGGGACATAGAATTCAATCCTCTGAGGGATTAAACAGCATTTAATCCTCTGAGGAAACTAATTGGAATTTCTCTTTTGAATCCATGCCCAAGTAGAATCAATGAGGACGTCAAACATGGAAACCTTGACTCAGACATCAGCAACAGTAGTGGGCCTACAGCTATGTTAGGAGACAAAAAAGGCTGCCCAGTGAAGAGAAGGAGAAGTTCAAGTCCAGTTCAGTGCTTTTCTTTCCTCCTAAGCTAAGGCAAGTGTACTATGAACCTTTAGATTAAAAAGAACTATATAAATGCAGAGAAGCATTATCGTAATTACTTTTGGCACAGAAATATTTTTGGCTAATGTTATTTTAATAAGAACTTCTGTCAAGGGGAAAAAGGCAAATCATATTAAGCAAAATTTTTTTCTGATGTTCTCTGATTTAATGTTACCCTGCCTGTTTTACTGGATATTTTAGTCTCTTAAGCAGTCTTTTATTATTAGAAACATAGCATGCCTATTTTCCAATCCCAGAGAAAATATGAGACAGCTCTCTGTGCCAGACGTTGTGCTAAATATTATAAGGAATGGGATACGATAATGGGACACTTTCTATCCTCAAGTAGCTTACAGTTTAGAGGTATAGTGACACAGACATCTGGATGCTAACAGCAATACTAGACAGAATGGGATTTAGGTGCCAATAAATTATGTGGATGCAAAAAGCAGAGCTCAGATAATTCCAAAGGGAGATGTAGTGACATGAATTCCCAGGAAGGTGGCACTTGAGCAGGGTCTAAGAAGGATGTGTACAAGCATCATTGATCTAGAAAGGCAATGTCATTCCAGGCCAAGAAAAGAGCCTGAATGAAGTCAGGAAATCTTGAAAATGCATAAAATAAATCTCATAAATTTCATGAACCTTTGCTACAAAGATCAATCTGATAAAATTGCATACTTTAAAGTAACTACAGAGAAATTATCTTGGTTGAAAATGCTTTCTATTCACTTTATACCACCTAAAAGCAATGGTTCTCAAAATATGGTTCCTATACCAGCAGTGTCTGTACCAACTGGAAAGATGTTAGAAATGTATCTTTTCAGATCCCATTTCAGATTTACTGTACTAGAATCTCTGGGGGTGGCATCCGGTAAACTATTTTGACAGGGTTTTCAGTTGATTCTGATGCATGCTAAAATTTAAGAACCAAGTGGCACAGCTCAGTAATCATTTTCCTTCTTTTCGGTCAATTTCTCTGTCCTTGATCACATGGCTGTTAAAAGCCTTTCTTTCCTTTAAGCTTCCTATCTTCACCATTCGTGCTTTGAGTGGATAACTTACTATGCAGAAGGGAAAAAAATTATTATGAACACTTTCAGCTTTCCTGACAATACACAGTTAAATCCTCTTTAAAGTTCACCTCCTTTCCCATAATTTTTACAGAAAGAAATATCCCTCTTCTTTTACAATTCTAATGATTTTTTATTGTATCTTGTAGTTTATTCTTTCCACCAAGCCTCCCAGATTTTGCTGTACCAGTCATCCCTTCTCCCATGCACTTTCATGGCTCCTTCCTTACTGGTCCAGTTCCTTCTGCTTATGAATCTGATCAATCCCCCAAGAAGCAAATAATAAAATCAAGAACTATGAAAATCTTAACTGTCACTGTGTATTCTTTGGCTTTTTATTATCAGACTCCTTGAATTCAGGAAACCAAACCTGTTGCCAAAGTTCAATGATAAATATCTATGAAATATAATCCTACTCAAGTTTTTTATAGTTCCTGATTTTTTAAATGCTTTCTTCATTTAAGATTGGTCTTCCATTGATTTCTGGACTGTTACTAACTCCTGGATATCCTACATTTCTGACTCTTTCACTGTTTCTTAACCTCCCCTTCTGGTTCTTGCTTCTTTGTCATTTAATCTCTTTTCCACTTGTTTTACATGGCCCAATGGCTGATACTAGTAACTTAGATGGGCCCAACCATTGACTATATCTTGCTTTACTACCAAATTTGCAGTTAAATCTCTAACCTCCATGCTGAAAGAAAACCATATTTATACTTTCAGTTGGATATTTATATGTCTAAAGCCGGAATCTTTAACCCCAGACTAGTTTTTAAAAATATTAATTCATGGCAGCTACCTAATATGTCAAGCCAAAAACTTGGGAGTCATTCCAGTGCTTTTGTTTCTTTCAAACCCTGCATTAATTTTGACACTAAAGCCTATAAATTTAACCTCATAAGATACTTATGTACTGTGTTTTATTCAGTTGTATACCTGATAGCATAGTAGATTAGATTTATTTAACAACCCTCCCACTATTAAAAAATAAAAAGCCTAGAACAAAGACACACATATTCACACACAGGTATAAACAGAACACCATAATCAAAAGTCAGAAAATAAAACAGAGACTTCAGATATTGAAGTTATTAAATGTAAAATATAAAATAAGTATATTTAACACATTTAAAGAAATAAAAGTGGATTAAAATATGATTAAGAATCAAGAGACTGTAAAATTATCAAGTAGATTTCAAAAAAACAAATAGAACTTCTATAAATTAACTATATAGTTGAAAATAAAATCTCTATAGAAGGGTTAAACAGGAGATTAGACACTGTTAAAGAGAGCATTAGAAAACTGGAAAATAGTTCTGAAGAAAATTTTAAGACTGAAGAACAGAGAAAAAGAAAGAAAAAATATAAAAAGTGAGTAAGATACATGAAAAATAGAGGTCTATTATATGCGCAGTTTAACTCCAAAAGGAGAGGAGGGATACAATGGGGACTACACAATATTCCAGGAGA